>NC_000001.11:51978077-52129592 GCF_000001405.40 Homo sapiens
CCTTGGAGATCCAGATCAAGTGCCAGCTTCCCTGTGCTCCCAGAACACTGTAACAGCCCTTGTATCACTTCAGCACTGTTGGAATGAGCATCTGGGCCTTAATGGACTTCATTCCTACATGTCTGGCTTCCAGCATGAATCCTAGCACATAATAAGCACTCAGGAAATGTGTGCTGAATTCATCACAGTCACTTCATCACTCTGGGGCTCAATCTCCTCATCTGGAAAATGGGGAGAACAATTTCCACCCTGCTCTTCTCACAGGGCTATCACAGGACTCAAATGAGATAACAATGGATGAAACCATTATCAACTGGTAAATTCCACACAGATGTGAACATATGTCCTTATTATTCCAAAGCCTTCAAAGCCTAGGTCCTTTATTTGTTCACTCATTCACTCAGCAAATATTTAATACATGCCAGGCCTTTCCTGAGACCCCAGCCTTCTCAGTTCTGTCACCATCTGCTTTCCTAGAACACCCGAATCTGAACTCCATAATTCAGCACTTGGTCACATGGTCTTATTTAAGTCTTTAATTGCTTCTCCTATGTCTTGGAAGCCTCAGGTACCCTGCTTCTCCACCTGAAATCTCCCCTTCTTCTCAGCACAAGGGTACCCAGATGGCTGGATGAGTGGTCAGAGGAGGGTGGGAGGACAGCATTCAAGTGTGATGGTGTCTGGGTTTTCATTCTTTTTAGGAATTCCTGTTTTTTTCCCCAAGGGCAAAGAAAGGGCATGAGGCTGGTGGGTGTGGCTCTTTGGGCCTCTCAGATGAGCTGTAAGGATAAGGAGCTGATTAATGTAGGTTTAAAGCTCTCTTGAAGAAAAGTTAGACAAATATGTAAGATTGTTAGCAGCCTTTTAATAAAAGTTCCTTGCATATGTCACCACTGGACTCCTGTGGTCTCTGTTCTTCCTTCCCTTTGTTCCCAGCTCTCAATCCTTATCTGAGACTGTAAGTTCCATCCCTGTATCAATCTGCCCCATGACAAGACTCACTAGGCAAGTGTGGAACATGCCCAGGACACTTGGAGACTGAGGCATAGCACTTACATGGAGGAAGAAAGTGAGGTTGGAAGGGAGGGTGCCATTGGCTGCTTAAACTGTCTCACAGCCTTAACTTTTCAGCTTTTCATGGTACTAGGTGCAAAGGCTGTTGCAAGAACTTGCCATGTAAAGGCATTATGCTTTTTTTTTTTTTTTTTCTGAGATGGAGTCTTGCTCTTTTCGCCCAGGCTGGAGTGCAGTGGTGCAGCCTTGGCTCACTGCAACCTCTGCCCCCTGAGTTCAAGCGATTCTCCTGCCTTAGCCTCCCAAGTAGCTGGGATTACAGGCATCTGCCACCATGCCTAGTTAATTTCTGTATTTTTAGTAGAGACGGGGTTTTGCCATGTTGGCCAGGCTGGTCTCGAACTCCTGACCTCAGGTGATCCACCTGCCTCAGCCTCCCAAAGTGCTAGGATTACAGGCGTGAGCCACCACACCTGGCCACATTATGCTTTTTCTACATAAAAACAAGGGAAGCAACCACAACAACCTCACACCATCCTCCGCTCTGCTGCCTGCAAGTCATCTTTCTTTATTCACAAGAGAAAATTTCTACTATGAATATATTCATTATAAAAAATTTGAAAATTATATTATGCAAAAGTGTAAAAAAGAGAATTTAAAATTAACTGACGGCTGGGCACGGTGGCTCACGCCTGTAATCCCAGCACTTTGGGAGGCCGAGGCAGGCAGATCACGAGGTCAGGAGATCGAGACCATCCTGGCTAACACGGTGAAACCCCATCTCTACTAAAAATACAAAAAATTGGCCAGGGGTGGTGGCGGGTGCCTGTAGTCCCAGCTACAGGAGGCTGAGGCAGGAAAATGGCGTGAACCAGGGAGGCGGAGCTTGTAGTGAGCTGAGATCCAGGCCACTGCACTTCAGCCTACGCGACAGAGCGAGACTCCACCCCCCCAAAAAAAAAATTAACTGACATCCCACCCACTCAGAAACTATGGCTGTTAACATTTTACTGTATTTCCTCCAATATTTTTTCATACAAAAGAGTGCCACCTAAGGCCAGGTGCAGTGGCTCACACCTGTAATCCCAGAACTTTGGGAGGCCAAAGTGGGAGGATGGCTTCAGGCCAGGAGTTCAAGACCAGCCTGGGCAACATAGGGAGACCCCATTTCTACAAAAAGTAAAAAATTAGCCAGCCGTGGTGGCACACATCTATAATCCCAGCTGCTTGGGAGGCTGAAGCAGGAGTATTATTTGAGCCCAGAAATTTGAAGCTGCAGTAAACCATGATTGTGCCACTGCACTCCAGCTTGGGCAACAGAGCAAGACTGTCTCTACCAAAAAAAAAAAAAAACCTCCTCTCTCCAGTCCATGCCTCCAAGATGACAAAGAAAAGAAGGAACAATGGTCATGCCAAAAAGGCCTGCAGCCACTTGCAGCCTATTCACTGGATGAACTGTGCCCAATGTGTGCCCAAGGACAAGGCCATTAAGAAATTCGTCATTTGAAACATAGTGGAGGCCACAGCAGTCAGGGACATTTCTGAAGTGAGCATCTTCGATGCCTATGTGCTTCCCAAGCAGTATGTGAAGCTACATTACTATGCGAGTTGTGCAATTCACAGCAAAGTAGTCAGGAATCGATCTCATGAAGCCCGCAAGGACCAAACACCCCCACCCTGATTTAGACCTGTAGGTGCTGCCCCACGACCCCCACCAAAGCCCATGTAAGGAGCTGAGTCCTTAAAGACTGAAGATGGACTATTTCCTGGAGAAAAATAAAATGGAAATTGTACTTTAAAAAAAAGCCATCTATTTTAATACTATGTTTTATTTGTTAATTTAAAAGGTAATACATACTTACGGAAAATAATTCAAGCATATCCTATTTGCAAGTATTACCTTTTTTACCAGCTGTAGCTCAATTATTATTATTTTTATTTTATTTTATTTTATTTTGAGACAGGGTCTCTCTCTGTCGCCCAGGCTGGAGTGCAATGGCACTATCTTGGCTCACTACAGTCTTGATCTCCTGGGCTCAAGCAATCCTCTTACCTCAGCCTCCCGAGTAGCTGGGACTACAGGCATGTGCCACCATGCTCAGCTAATTTTTGTACTTTTTGTAGAGATGGGGTTTCACCATGCTGTCCAGGCTGGTCTTAAACCGGGATCAAGTGATCTGCCCTCCGTGGCCTCCCAAAGTGCTAGAATTACAGGCGAGAGCCACCACACCCAGCTGCATTATTTTCTTAATTCCTAGCATAAAATACAAGTAATATGAAACCTAAAGGTTTACACTGAAAAGTAAGTCTTGCTTCCATCTCTGATTCCTGATCCAGTTCCCCTCCCCAGAGGCATACATGTTATCAATTTATATATCCTTCAGAGATAGCCCTTGCATATATAAGCAAAGAGACCTATTTATACTTTTTATTTCTATATAAATAACATACCATGCATTCTAGTCTATACCTTCTATGCATATTGTAATAGCTGACATCATATGTACAAGGTATAGGCTAGAATATATGGTATGTTATCATTTAGCAAATCACTTAAATTTTAAAAGTACAATCATGAACTGCATAACAACATTTCAGTCAATGACAGACCACATGTACAATGGCGGTCCCATAAGATTATAATGGAGCTGAAAAATTCCTATTGCCTAGTGACATAGTAGCCATGGTAACATTGTAGCACAACACATTACTCACATATTTGTGTTGATGCTGGTGTAAACAAACCTACTGCATTGCCAGTTGTATAAAAGTATAGCACATATGATTATGTGCTATACATAATACTTGATATTGATAATAAATGACTATGTTACTGGCTTCTGTATTTACTTACTACACTTTTTATTGTTATTTTAGAGTGTACTTTTTCTATTTATATTTAATATTTTTTAAAAAGTTAACAGTAAAACAGCCTCAGGCAGGTCCTTCAGGAGGTATTCCAGAAGAAGATATTGCCATAAGAGATGACAGCTCCATGCCTATTATTGCCCCTGAAGACCTTCCAGTGGGACAAGACATGGAAATGGAAGGCAGTGATATTGATGCTCCTGGACCCTGTGTAGGCCTAAGCTCAGGTGTGTGTATTTGTGTCTTCCTTTTTAACAAAATAATTTTAAACATAAATTTAAAAACTAAGGAAGAAAAGAAAGAAAAGGCCAGGTTCAGTGGCTCATACCTATAATCCCAACACTTTGGGAGGCCAAGGTGGGAGGATCGCTCAAGCCAAGGAGTTTGAGGCTGCAGTGACCCATGATTGCACCACTGCATTCCAATCCAGGTGACACACTGAGCCTTCATCTCAAAAAAGGCCATACGGTGTATTTGTGCTTTAAGTTAAGTGTTGTTATAAAAGAGTCTATGGCTGGGCATGGTGGCTCAGACCTGTAACCCCAGACTTTGGGAGGCCGAGGCAGGCAGATCACTTAAGGTCAGGAGTTCAAGACCAGCCTAGCCAACATGGTGAAACCTCATCTCTACTAAAAATACAAAAATTAGCCAGGCGTGGTGGTGCGCACCTGTAATCCCAGCTACTCAGGAGGCTGAGGCACAAGAATTGCTTGAACTCGGGAGGTGGAGGTTGCAGTGAGCAGAGATCCACTGCACTCCAGCCTGGGTGACAGAGCAAGACTCAATCTCAAAAAAATAATAATAATAATAATAAATAAAAAATAAAAGAGTCTAAGAAGTTTTAAAAATTTTTTAAGTTTATAAGGTTTAAAAGTTATAGTAAGCCAAAGTTAATTTATTATTGGAGAAACATATTTTTAAATAAATTTAGTGTAGCCTAAGTGTAGAGTGTTTATAAAGTCTCCTATAGTGTATGGTAATGTCCTAGGCCTTCACATTCACTCACCACTCACTCACTGACTCCCCCAGAGCAACTGCCGGCCCTGCAAGCTCCATTCATGGTTAAGTGTCTTATATAGGTGTACCATTTTTTATCTCTTATACCATATTATGCCTGGGTGCAGTGGCTCACACCTGTAATCCCAGCACTTTGGGAGGCCAAGGTGGGTGGATCACTTGAGGTCAGGAGATAGAGACCAGCCTGGCCAACATGATGAAACTCCATCCCTATTAAAATACAAAAAATTAGCCAGGCATGGTGGCAGATACCTGTAATCCCAGCTACTCGGGAGGCTGAGGTTGCAGTGAGCTGAGATTGCACCACTGCATTCCAGCTTGGGTGATAGAGCCAGACTTGGTCTCAAAAAAAAAAACCATCATATTTTTACTGTACCTTTTCTATGTTTAGATGTGTTTAGCTACACAAATACTTACCACTGTGTTACAATTGCCTGCTACATTCAATACAGTAACATGCTGTACAGGTTTGCAGCCTAGGAGCAATAGGCTATCTATTCCATATAGACTATGTGTATAGTAAGCTATACCATATACCATATAGGTTTGTGTAAGTATACTCTATGATGTTCATACAACTATGAAATCGGCTAATGACACATCCCTCAGAACATATCCTTGTCATTAGCAATGCAAGACTGTACTTAAATACTACAAAAATTTAGTAGTACCAAAAGTACTACAAAAATATGAGATTTTGAGGCCAGGTGCCGTGGCTCAGGCCCATAATCCCAGGACTTTGTGAGGCCGAGGCAGGCGGATCATTTGAGCTCAGGAGTTTAAGATCAGCCTGGCCAACATGGTGAAATCCAGTCTCTACTAAAAATATAAAAATTAGCCAGGTGTGGTGGCGCACACCTGTAATTCCAGCTAGTCAGGAGGCTGAAGCACAAAAATTGCTTGAACCCAGGAGGCGGAGGCTGCAGTGAGTCAAGATTGCACAACTACACTCCAGTCTGGGTGACAGAGCAAGACACTGTCTCAAAAAAAAAGAAAAGAAAGTAAGGGCTGGGCGCGGTGGCTCATGCCTGTAATCCCAGCACTTTGGGAGGCTGAGGCGGGTGAATCACGAGGTCAGGAGTTCGAGACCAGTCTGGCCAACATGGTGAAACCCCATCTCTACTAAAAATACAAAAAATTCGCTGGGCGTGGTGGTGGCTGCCTGTAATCCCAGCTACTCTGGAGGCTGAGGCAGGAGAATCACTTGAACCTGGCAGGCGGAGGTTACAGTGAGCGGAGATTGTGCCACTGCACTCCAGCCCAGGCAACAGTGGAGACTCTCTAATTAAAAAAAAAAAAAAAAAAAAAAAAAAAAAAAAAAGCATGAACGAGACTTTGAAAACTCTAAAAAAACATCATTTCAGTTGACTACATTATATTCCATCCTATAGATGTGTCATAAGACCAATTCTTTTTTTTTTTTTTTTTTTTTGAGACAGAGTCTTGCTCTGTCACCCTGGCTGGAGTGCAATGGCACAATCTTGGCTCACTGCAACCTCCAACTCCTGGGTTCAAGCGATTCTCCTGCCTCAGCCTCCCAAGTAGCTGGGACTACAGGTGCTCACCATCACACCGGCTAATTTTTGTATTTTTAATAGAGATGGGGTTTCACCATGTTGGCCCAGCCAGATCAATTATTTAATGTTGTCACTCTCTTTAGGAAGTTGTTTTTAAGTTGTTTTTCTACTCTTAATTATTATACATGAAACTGCAGTGAACATTTCTTTACATAAATTTTTGTACATTTTCCTAATTACTTCCTTGAGAGAGATTCCTTGAAGTGGAATTGCTGGTCAAAGAGTCACTACTAAAACATAAATGTGATCTTTACCACAATTTCATATCCTTTATCTTCTTTTATCTCTAAATAAACCTGGGAAATAAAGCTGGAAAGACGTGGATTATTATTTCCATTTGATCAAGAAGGAAACTGAAAATGAGAAATTAAAAGGATTTGCCCAAATCTCATAGCTAACAGCCGAGACTAGACTTAGTACCCTGCAGTGTTATGAAAAAGTTTAAAATCAATGCTCTACCCTCAGATGAATTCTTAGGTAAGTCATATTGCCTCTCTAAGCCACAGCACTTTTACCTTAAAATAGAGAAAATACCACCTACTTCACAGAGCTTGGTACAAATAGAAAGAGTAGTACTATACGTAAACAATCTGACACAGTTTCTCGGCCCATGGAGGTACTGAATACATATTATTTCACTGGCCCCTTTAATTCACTTCTGCAGGCAAATCTTGTTCAACTGCCCTCTCCCTGATTGTGGCTCCATTATTTGGGCCTGTTTTACAATTAACTGTTTGCTCTCTCTTCTGGATTCAAGGGGGCTTTATCCATCCTTACATCTGGTCAACGCTAGACCTACAGTAAATCCTTAGAGGGTGTTATGTCTTTCAAGAAACACATATAGAGCATTTTTCAAGTGCCAGACTATCAGTGTAAATGTCAGATTACTGGTTTTCACTTTTCTGATGTAGCCCAGCTTCACACTCTTAAACTGCTAGAATTAGAGGGGACTTTGGAGTAGCAGCTTTTTATTGTAACAAAAAGCCTGGCTACTGGGCCCAGCTTTCCCAGTAACTCAGTGTGTAAACTTGGCCTAGTTACTTAAATTCTATGCCTCAGTGTCCTCATCTGACAATAATACTTACTTCACGAGGTGCTGTGAATTTTAAATAAGAGAACGTATATAAGTATGTTTCATACACTGTGCTGAGAAAAATACATGTAGCCTCGTGTAGAATCAGTGAGAAATTTGCCTGCCTTTATTAGCTGTGACTGCCACAGATAGGAGACTAGGAAGTGATGGCAAGAGTAAAAAATTGTTTCAGTTCCTGATCTACCTCCGTTTATCTTACAGGTAAAAAAAAAAAAAAAAAATTGAGGCTCTGCAAAGACAAGTGATTTGTCCAAGCTCACACAGCAAGTCAGTTGGAGGGTCATGAATGGAACTTCTGTTACCTAATGGCTTCCAGGTTTGACGGGATTAAGGAAAACGAAAACCACAACAATTTTAGGGTGAATAAAGAAGCATCCTGGCTGGGCATGGTGGCTCATGCCTGTAATCCCAACACTTTGGGATGCCAAAATGGGAAAATCACTTGAGGCCAGGAGTTCAAAACCAGCCTGGGAAACATAGTGAGATTCCATTTCTACGAATTTTTTTTTTTTTTTTTTTTTTGAGGCAGAGTCTCACTCTGTCGCCCAGGCTGGAGGGCAGTGGCGCGATCTCAGCTCACTGCAAGCTCCGCCTCCCGGGTTCACGCCATTCTCCTGCCTCAGCCTCCCGAGTAGCTGGGACTACAGACACCCGCCACCATACCCGGCTAATTTTTTGTATTTTTACTAGAGATGGGGTTTCACCGTGTTAGCCAGGATGGTCTCGGTCTCCTGACCTTGTGATCCGCCTGCCTCGGCCTCCCAAAGTGCTGGGATTACAGGCGTGAGCCACCGCGCCCAGCCAAAAAAAGTTTAAATTAGTCGGATGTGGTGGTGTGCACCTGTAGTCCTCGGTACTTGGGAGGCTGAGGCTGGAAAATCACTTGAGTCCAGAGGTTCGAGGTTAGAGTGAGCTATGATTGCACCACTGTATCCCAACCTGGGTGACAGAGTGAGACCCTATCTCTAAAAATAAAAATTAAAAAAAAGAAGCATACCCAACATCCTGAGTGTCCTGCTACCGTACTGTACTTGCCATACCACACTGTTAACATCTGCTTATGCACACACAGCATGGCTTTCCCAGTAGGTGGTGTGAGAACGGGGAGAGGCAGAGAGCTGAGTTCAGTTGGAAGGCTCATTCAGATGGAAGCCCCCAAGGGGATCTTCTTAGGAGGGGGCGGCCAGGGGCTACTCAGACATTTGGAAGACAGGCAAAAAGCATCCCAGCAGGCAGCTGCCTGAGGCAGATCTAAGCAGACAGGTCATGCACAGTGGTGCATGCAGAATTGCATTTGTAAGATAAGCATCAATCAAATCTTTCCTCTATTTTGTGACAGTCACATAAAATGATAGAGCTATCTCCGTGACAAGCAATACAGATGAAGGCCCAGGGACCATCTGGGAAGTCGTCCCTGTCCCAGGCTGGGGGAAAGAAATGACTCCTCAAAGGGTGGCTGTGAAAAACAACCCTTTCAGTCTGATAGGCGGCAGAAATAAGCACCTAAGGAAGAAGCCAACTTCAGCCAGGAAAGAGCGGGGAGGAGGAGGAGAGAGCCCTAAAATCCAGCGAGAAGAGATCAGCTCAATAAATGGAGTGAAGAAGTGAATGAAGGAACTTACCTTTTGTTGCAAAGAACATGAGACTGAGTCCAAGAGACCTGGCATTTGAAAGATAAGCCCTGGCTCTTTCAGTGATCCTGTAAACTTAGGCAAATCACACCCCTGGCCTCAGTTTCCTTATCTATAAAAGGAGCTCATAAAATGGCTTCCTGGCAAAACTGTTGCAAGAATTAAAACCTGTATATGGGAGGGTGTTTTATTAACCCCTTATTTTGTTTGTTTGTTTGTCTCTGTGCTTCATGGTTTCTTCTAGCAAGTCATCCTGTGTAGTGGAAATAGTTTGGAGCTCCAAATCAAACAAACTAGATTCAGTTTCCAGGTCTATCATTTATTACCTATGAGACCTTGGCAAGAAATGTTACATGATTAAGACAGTTTCCTCATTCATAAAACAAGTGTTGTTGGGAAAATTATAGGTAATGTGGGTTATACATCTAGAATAGTACAGTAATTTCTTGGTATAGGCAAGGGATTGGCTCCAGGACCCCCATATATACCGAAATCCACGCCTACTCAAGAACCACAGTTGGCCCAGTGGAACCCACCTAGACTAAAAGTTGGTCCTCTGAATATACAGACTTCACCTCCCTTCACTACTGTATTTTCTTCTCTTTTTCTTCTTTTTTAAGAGATGGGTGTCACTCTGTTTCCCAGGATGGAGTACAGTGGCCTGATCATAACTCACTGTAGCTTCAGGTTCCTGGGCTCAAGCGATCCTCCTACCTCAGCCTCCCAAATAGCTGGGATTCCAGGTTTGAGCCACTGCGCTTGACCCACCATGGTATTTTTTTTAATCAGTGTTTGGTTGAAAAAAAAAATTCAGGTATAAGTGAACCTACACAGTTCAAACCCATGCTGTTCAAAGGTCAACTGTATATGCAATATAGCAGGGGCTCAATAATGTAATTCCCTGTCTTCCTACTTGGAGCATTTCAGTGAGAATAAGAAGGGAGTTGGGCAAATGTGGACCTCATCCTCCTTTAAGCCATACTCTACTTTTCTAATTCAATCTGTCTTTAGACCATTCCCCACTGCTGACCCATCACCACCTTCTCATTGTTTTCCCAGGTCTCCTAGAGCCACAGAAACAATATCACAATAGCTACCATTTATTGAGCACCTACTAAATGTCTAGCATTCTACAAGATGCTTTCAAAGCATTCCATCTTGCACCAACAGATGCTTGATATTCATTTCCTTCCTCCTCCAGATTGGAAAGAGATAGCCATGGGTGTGTCCACTGACAAAACAGGAACACCTGCAGAATAACATCAGTGGCCTCTCTCTTTGTACATTGTTTTACAGTTTACAAAGTTCTTTTCACCCACATTATCCTATTTGATTCTCACAACAATTCTTGGGAATGGATGAAGAAATTGAGGCAGGAGCACCAATTATTCATTCAATCAACATTCACCAAGCACCTACTATGCACCAGGACCTGTGCTATACTTTAGGGAGATGGAGAGAAACCCTAGGAGCTTCAAGCTTAGAGGGGAAATCTATTTAAATATTTTGTATAGGTTACTGATGCCTCCCTTCATGTCATAATCTTTAAGAAACTGAAGATCTATTTCTTGGACTGGAGATGCTTTTAGATTTTTGCCTTTTCCCATACGGTTTCCTCTGATAGGAACACACTTTCCTCCACTGCTAGCTAAATCCTTCATGACCAGGAAGGCTTCCCCAACCCACCCACCTCCCCCAAAATGCTTCTTCTCTGGCTCCCACAGGGCACCAGGGCTTTCCACTTCTATAGATAGGGCCTTTCACGGCTTCCATTGTCTTCCTCTGTTTATAGGCACAGAACAGGTGGACACCCACCTGTGCGCGCGCACACACACACACACACACACACACACACATCCTCTCCTTTTACTGTCTCCCACCCCTTTCCATCTGGATTCCAGGAAGCCGGGGGAAGAGGGCCCATCTTGTTTTGTGTGTGTGTGTGTGTGTGTGTGTGTGTGTGTGTGTGTGTGTGTGTGTTTTGAGGGCCCATCTTTCTCCCACCTCCTCCACATCTCTCTTAGCTTCCAAAGGCTGCTGCCCTGCCCTCCCCAAAGTTGCTTCCATGCTTGGACTACAGAACAGAGTTGGATGACTTTTTCTGTCCACGATTCTCTTATTTTCTGTGATCCCCGGTGCCCGTGTAACAAGGTCCAGTGCCTGGGTCCCCTCCTTGGACTCCTGAGTGGCCGAGACACCGCTAGTGCGTGGACACCACTCCAGCCCCCATTACCTTTCCACCCTTACACCACGACCCACACCTGGCCTCCTCCCCAGGCTGACCCAGCGCCCCACCACCCTATCTATACACTCCAAGTTCTCCCACGATTCCTCCACTTGCAGCCGCCAGACCCTACTCTATTCCAGAGCCTCCTCTCCACTCCTGACCAGAATGTAGGCCCCTGTGTCCATTTCCAAGGCCACTTCCCTGTGTCTCCACCGGCTCCCTGCCCCCTTCCTCTGCAGCAGGGTAGACCCAACCTGGCCTCTCACCCTTCCATTCTCCCAAGCTTCCCGCCCCCAAGCCCCACCCCTCGTCTTCCATCTACAGTTACCCCCACGCCGGTCCCCAGCCGGGCTCAACCTCCGACCCCAGCTATCCATACCCACATCCCCCATAAATGACCCTCTTTCGACCAGACACTGCCCTGCTGCCTTTCTCCTTCCCAGCTATCCATACCCACATCCCCACCCCCGACCCTCTCCCAACCAGACACTCCCCAGCTGCCCAGCGCCCCTTGCCCTCGGCACCTCAGTCCCCTCCAGCTCCAAACGACCCCCGCCCAGCCAGTCCCCTCCCCTCAGCTCCTCACCTCCATGCCTCCCCCCGCACCCCCGCTCTAGCTCCCCTCAGTCCGCTCCCTTCACCGCCCCCTTCGCTGCCCCTCGGCTGCCCGGTACCACCTTTCCGCACAGCCCCACTCCGCCCTCCTCGCAGCTCCCCCGCCCCCCACGCCCCCGTTTCCCCCAGCGATCCCTCACTGCCCTCCAGTTGCCCCCCATCTCTCCTCCCAGCCCCAGCGCCGTCTTTCTTGCTCCCCTCCCGCCCTTGGAGCTCCCCCGGCTGCCCCCAACGTCTGGGAGACCCCCTCGGCGCCCCCTCCCTAGGTGAGCCCCACCTCTGCCGCCGCGGAGCCCCCTCCCTCGCTCCTCCCCCGGCTTCCTTCCGCTGCCCCGCGCTCCTTCTCGGCGCCCGCTCTCGGTGCCCAGCGCCCCGCGCCGGGGATCGGTCCCTGATCCTCCGCGGGCGGGCTGCCGGGGCCGCGCCCCTTACCGCGGACTCCGAGTGCGGGACGACGGGTTCGCTCCCGGACGGTCGGCGGGACGGCAGGACCTGGCGTCGGGAGGGCGCGGAGGGGGCCGGGGCGGGGCGCTGCGGGATGGTCTGGTCCGGTCAGGTCCTCACAGTGGCGCCTGAGGGCTGAGGCTCCCGCTCCAGCACTGCTCCGCTCCGGCCGCATCCAGGCCCCGCCCAAGGGCGGAGTCTGTGTTCGCCCCGCCCCGGCCCTCAACTCCTAGCAGGTGTAATCCGAGGTGACTCAGGACCTCCAGGTCCCCCATGTCTGGGTGACTCTCGTGATTTATCTTAATTGTCATGCCTCGTTCCATTGACTGAACTTACTAGGGTAATTAGAGAGCTTTGATGATAATGTAGCTGATGATGGGTAGCAGTTTTGCCATTTCCAAACTGCTTTCTGGTCCGGTCCGTTCTATGGCTCCGTCTTCACAAAAGCCCAGAGAGGGAGGCTGACTACAAGCGGAAACCAAGCCAGAAACCTGGACGCTGTCCTCTACCCTATCTGTGTTTCCTTCACACCCCACATCCCACCGCCTTAACATATCCCTGCCCTTCCTCTGTGTCTCCATTGCCCTTGTTCTGACTCCAGCATCATCACTTCTTGCTTGGACTAATGCAACAGCTTCCTAATTCCTGCCTTCACTCTCCAATTCACCCTATAAAACCAGGACGTGGTGTCAGCATGGCCATTTCCACCCTTGTACAAAAATTCTTTCTCCTGTGGTCTCCAGTCATACCACCCTCCACCCCTCCTCATCACTGACACCCAATTGTTCCTTATGCATTAAAGATTGCAGCCCCTGGCCCATGGTCATCCTAACTAGCCCCTGTTCTGCCATACTCCTGGTGACTTCGGTAGCTGTGAGACTTCCTGGTCCCATTCATTCTGAGTCAGATACCAAAATCATTTTGACACAAGCCCGAGCAACCCTTTAAAAAATGTCACCATGTTACCATCAACCTTGTTTAAGAAAACTCTCGGCCAGGCACAGTGGCTGACGCCTGTAATCCCAGCACTTTGGAAGGCCAAAGTGGGCAGATCACTTGAGGTCAGGAGTTCGAGACCAACCTGGCCAACATGGTGAAACCCTGTCTCTACTAAAAATACAAAAATTAGCCGGGCATGGTGGTGCATGCCTGTAGTCCCAGCTACTTGGGAGGCTGAGGCAGAATTGCTTGCACCCAGGAGGCAGAGGTTGCAGTGAGCCGAGATCACTGCACTCCAGCAGTGCACTCCAGCCTGGGCAACAAAGCCAGACTCCATCAAAAACCAAACAAACAAACAAACAAAAACCTCTCAATGGTTTCCCATTACCAGGAGGCTGTCAACAGGAGTAGAAAAATGTTCTTGCCTGGCCTGGCCCTAGGAAGTCCCACTTCCACTAGAGGAGGCAGATAGAGGAGGCAATAAATACCCCACCCTCAAATCCTGATATGGACTTCCAGTCTTCCTGAGGTCACAGGAGCCAGCTGAAGGCTTGCTCTAGAATCATTGTCTTTCCCCACACTTCTCCCCCATCTCAGATCTTAGAGGTCTGAGTCAAATACCAAAACCATTTTCCCCCCAAGTTCCATTATGACCCTGTCTACAGTGTACATCTCCAGCCTAGGAACCACCCAAGCTGACAGCTCCTCTGCTTGTCTGGCCTCTGCCTCAGACGCTTACTCTTCTGAGCTTCTTGCCCAGCCCTTTCACTCACACTGCCCATCACACTGGCAGCTCTTTCCTCTGTGCCTTCTAGAATCCTGTTCTTTTGTCAACAAACTCTGCTATACCCTCTGCTTCTTCAGAGTACTCAGGTGACTTCTTTGCCTGAGCCTCCTCCAGGTACTGCCTCCTTTGCTGCCCTCTGCTAGAAGGCTTCTCATTTTTCCACTCCCCATATACTATAAAACTAGGATGTGGGGATGGCATGGCCATTTCCACCCTTGTGCAAAAATTCTTTCTTCTGTGCTCTCCAGCCATACCCCCCTCAACCCCTCCTCATCACTGACCCCCCAATTGCTCCTTATGCATTACAGATTGCAGCCCCTGGCTCATGGTCATCCTCACTAGCCCCTGTCCTGCCATCCTCCTGGTGACTTCAGTAGCTATGAGATTTCCTGGTCCCTCAGTCCTTGTCCTCCACATCACCTTGGCCACCAGCTCCCATGGTCACTCTTGAGCTCTTAATCACCCACTGCTGGTACCTCTGTAATAGCAAAATCAAACATGCTACGCTGAACTGCTCCCTCACTCTCTTTCTCTCACAAGGCCCTACTTCCCTCATTTCAAAATAGACGAGATGATAATGATTATTCTTTCTTCCTAGGAATAATGAGACAGCATATAGAGCCATCCTTTTAAAGTTGTGAGACAATATGAGAACAGATGGTATTGCTTTTATGTAGCCTCAGTTCTTCTGGTTGCTTTCTCCTTCTCCCTCCTCTGAAAGGCGGTATAGTAAATTAGAAAGGGCACACACAGGCTTGGGGCCAGGCAGACCTGGTCTTCAGTCCTTGCTTGCTGTGTGATCTTATGCCAATTACCTAATTTCTCTCGCACGCACACCCCTTCCTTATTTGTAGAAAGAGCAATAATAAGAGCTGCTTCTCAGAGTTGTTGGGAAGATCAAATGAGAACACAAGCTACTGGAGAGGACTTGATAGAGTGGTAGGCATACAGTAAGCATTCAACAAATAGGAAACACTGTGCTTCGTATAACAGAAAAAAAAAAGTGCTATTTTTAAACCACAACTGCCTTCCAGGAATGACAGATCCCAATGCACAGAAAGTCCTTTTGTCCTGCTTGGGGCCTCAATTGATGAGAGTGAATACGTAACTTTGGGAGAAGAAATTGCTCTCTATGTTTAAAAAGGGAGTAGGGGTAGGTGGGGCATGATGGCCCACGTCTGCAATCCCAGCACTTTGGGACCACCTGAGGCCAGGAGTTCGAGACCAGCCTGGCCAACATGGTAAAACTCTGTCTCCACTAAAAATACAAAAATTAGCCGGGCGTGGTGGTGGGCGCCTGTACTCCCACCTACTCGGGAGGCTGAGGCGGGAGAATCACTTGAACCTGGGAGGCGGAGGTTGCAGTGAGCCGAGATTGTGCTACTGCACTCCAGCATGGGCAACAGAGTGAGACTCCATCTAAACAAAATTAGGGGTAGCAGGAGGCAGAGGTTGCGATGAGCCGAGATTGCGCCGTTGCACTCCAGCCTGGGAAACAAGAGTGAAACTCCATCTCAAAAAAAAAAAAAAAAAAAAGGTGGGGGTGGGAGGGTTGGGGGAAGGCAAATTTGGAATTCACTTGACAAAATGGGAGGGCAAGTTAATAGAGATCGGAGGGGAAAAGGAAAAAGATGAGTAAGAAAATCAATGTAAGGATAGGTGCTACATAGGTAAAGAGTCAGAAGAAACTCTCCCATGGTAGTTGACAAGAGTGTTTCAGCAGTGGGATACCTAAAATGGGATAAGTTGTTTGTTACACTAGGACGTGACCATCCTATGTGACTCTCAAGACTTCAGGAAGGGCTATTACACCCAGGAACGCTTTTTGAGAGAGGGGAATTGTGAGAGTACATGAGTAGGGAGTTGAGCAATGTGCTTTGTTAGGTCTCAGTTGAAAAAGGAGACTGGAAGCAGAGGTAACTGTGAGACCACAAGCCCTTGTGGAACTTGCAAAAACTTGTGTAGGACTTTGCACTTACATGAGTTGGGAAATGTGAATATTGAGGTTCAAGCCCATTGCATTTGGATCTTGAAGAGGCAGAGAGGCAGCCAGACAGCGGCTCACACCTGTAATCCCAGCACTTTGGGAGGCCAAGGTCGGCAGATCACCTGAGGTGAGGAGTTCAAGACCAGCCTGGCCAACATTGTGAAACCCCATCTCTACTAAAAATACAAAAAAATTAGCCAGCATGGTGGCAGGTGACTGTAATCCCAGCTACTTGGGAGGCTGAGGCAGGAGAATCGCTTGAACCCGGGAGGCGGAGGTTGCAGTGAACCAAGATCGCACCACTGCACTCTTGCCTGGGTGACAGAGTCAGACTTGGTCTCAAATAAAAAAAAAAAAAAGCCGGGGGCGGTGGCTCATGCCTGTAATCCCAGCACTTTGGGAGGCCGAGGCGGGCGGATCACGAAGTCAGGAGATCAAGACCATCCTGGCTAACGTGGTGAAACCCTGTCTCTACTAAAAACACAAAAAATTAGCCGGGCGTCGTGGTGGGCGCCTTTAGTCCCAGGTACTCGGGAGGCTGAGGCAGGAGAATGGCGTGAACCCTGGAGGCGGAGCTTGCAGTGAGTTGAGATCGCGCCACTGCACTCCAGCCTCGGCGACAGAGCGAGACTCCATCTCAAAAAAAAAAAAAAAAAAAAAGGAGGCAGAGAGGCCACATCTGACATTTGGGTTGCATCATTTATGCCCTCATAAGCTACCTTCTTATTGACTAAGGTAACCACCTGAGGGAAGAACAACACAAATCAAATTATACTGGACTGTCTTCACTTCCAGATCCAAATGCCCAAGGAAGAATGGGAAGGAAAACAAAATTCTTTTTTTTTTTTTTTTGAGATAGAGTTTTGCTCTTGTTGCCCAGGCTGGAGTGCAATGGCGTGATCTTGGCTCACTGCAACCTACGCCTCCCGGGTTCAAATGATTTGGCTGCCTCAGCCTCCTGAGTTGCTGGGATTACAGGCATGTACCACCACGCCCAGCTAATTTTGTATTTTTAGTAGAGACGGGGTTTCTCCATGTTGGTCAGGCTGGTCTCAAACTCCTGACCTCAGGTGATCTGCCCCGCCTCAGCCTCCCAAAGTGCTGGAATTACAGGCATGAGCCACTGAACCTGGCCCCTGAATGAAGACAAAATTCTACCTTTTGTCTTGGCTCAGATTAGTTAACAATTATATTCATTGAATCTTTAAATTACACTAAGATTATTCACATCTTTTATCTCATTTAATCCTCAATATAATTATGCAAGTTATAGATTATCATCCCTTTTTTATAGACAAGGAAAGAGAATTGAGAAAGTTTAAGTGACTTGCCCAAGGTCATACAACTGGTAAGTGGCAGAGCCAGATAGCAGGTCTGTCTGACTCCAAGGACAGGGCGTTTTCTATTAGACTCTAAAATTATATTTTGATTGCCCAGTGAACATCATTGTGATTAAGAGTCCTGCAAGGGCAAGATGGCACCTGCCTGTAGTCCCAGCTACTCGGGAGGCTGAGGCAGGTGGATGATTTCAGCTCAGGAGTTCTGGGCTGTTATGTGTGTTATGCAGAACAGGTGTTCTCACTAAGTTCAGCATCAATATGGTGAATTCCCAGGAGTGTGGGGCTACCAGGTTGCCCAAGGAGGAGTGAACCAGCCAAGGTCAGAAACAGCAGGCCAGAACTTCTGTGCTGATCAGTAGTGGGATCATGCCTGTGAATAACCACTGTACTCCAGCTGGGGCAACATGGAGAGACCCTGTCTCTATATTTAAAAAATAAATAAATAGGCCAGGCACGGTAGCTCATGCCTGTAATCCCAGCACTTTGGGAGGCCGAGGCGGGCAGATCACCTGAGGTCAGGAGTTCGAGACCAGCCTGGCCAACATAGTGAAACCCCATCTCTACTAAAAATACAAAAAATTAGCTGGGCATGGTAGTGCACGCCTGTAGTCCCAGCTACTCGGGAGGCTGAAGCAAGAGAATCATTTGAACCTGGGAGGCAGAGATTGCAGTGAGCCAAGAGCATGCCACTGCATACCAGCCTGGGTGACAGAGAGAGACCCTGTCTCAAAAATAAATAAATAAATAAATAATAGAGTCCTACAACAAAATTTCCTTTTGTAGTTGCCAGAGTAATCAGCCTTCTCCAACTCCTAGTTTTATAAGAAGTATAGAATTGATGCTCTTTTGTTGTTGTTATTAGGGTTGGGGGGGGGGGCGGTCTTCCTATATTGCCCAGTCTGATCTTGAACTCCTGGTCTCAAGCAATCCTCCCACCTCAGCCTTCCAAGAAGCTAAGATCGCAGGTGTCAGCTTTTTATTGAATGATAATCAGTGGCTTAGAAAATGGCACAAGCGGATGTCGTTTGGAATGTTCAAATTTTCACAAGGTGAATATTTACCCTAGTGTGAGTCCCTCATGGCCAGCTTAGGAACTCAGATGTGTTGACAGGTCAGACATTTCCATCCAACCCATTCAATAGATTGCTCCATGCAATAGGGTAGCTGAAGCAGGTACCTGTGAAACAGCTGAGAAATGTAGGATTCAATGAGAGGAGTGATGGAAGATCGGGGAGGAAAGAGAAGAAGAGGCCAGATGGTCCAAGGCCTTGTACATCATATTAGGGATTTGGGAGCTTACCTTGCAAACAAAAAGATTTTAAGCAATGGAGTAACATGGTTACATATTCTTGTGAGAAAGATAGCTCTGCCTGTGGCAGGGGAATACAACAGATTGGATGGGAAGGATAGGGAGCAGAGAGATAGGAGACAGAGAAAACAATAGAGATTGCTGTAATAATCTAGATAAGAGATGACTAGGACCTGAGCTAATGTCATAGCAATGGGAAAGGTAGAAAGCAGAGGGATTTGATATATATTTAGGAGGTAAAGTTCCCTGGACTTGGTGACAGATTAAATGTGAGATATAAAGAAAAGGGCACCAGCCTAAACAACCAGGTAGATAATAAAACCATTTACTGAAACAGGAAGCAAAGAAGTTGTTTCTGTTATCTATTGCTGCATTTAAAAAACACTCCCAAAAGTTTAGTGGCTTAAAACAGCAATAATTCACTATTTCTCATAATTCTGTGAGTGGCTAACTGCCTCCTTTGCTGGTTTCACCTGCGATCATTCAGGAGCTGCATTCAGTTGGAAGGGCTGCTGGCCTGGAAGGTCTAAGATGTCCTTATTCATAAGTCTGGCAATCAGTGCCAGCTGAGGACTGGCACCCCAGTTTTTCTGCATGTGACCTCTCATCCACTAGTAGGCTAGACCAGCTTACATGGTGGTCTCAAGGCAGCATTCCAAGAGTATAAAGGCAGAAGACACAATCTCTAAAGACCAAGCCTTAGAAATCGCACGACCTCACATATGCTGCATTATATTAACCAAATCAAGTCACAAGCCCAGTCCAGATTTAAGGGGTGGAAGAAATAAATTCCACTTTTGATTGGGAAGAAGAGCGAAGTCACATCACAAAAAGGCACAATATAAGGAACAAGGAGTCTATTGCCTTTAACCAAACTACTACAGGAGTAGAAACAAATGTGGGTAATGAGAGAAAATGATGAGTATCTCAAATACCACCTCCTGCACAAATCATTCCTTCCTTCTCTGTGCTTCAGTTTCTTCATTTGTAAAACGAATGAATGTGCAAGTCCATTCCTCTCACCAGCTGCTGTTTACGAGGTGAAAGTGGTTCAAATCTGCAACAAGGACACTGCTCCATCGCCAGGGCACACACTGTCAGCAGGGGTGGAATCTGAGACACACACAGGGGAAACATTCAACATGTGAATGGTCAGAACCCCGGTACCACCCACCACCCCTCCCTCCCCACCCCAACCCTGCCAATGCTTCACCAAGCCCAGCCCATTCTACTTCCCAGGAACTCTTCATTCCATAGCCACAGTCTCCTCACTATCCTGCTCCTGCAATAGCCTCCAATCTGCCGTTAGTCCGCACTCCACACTGCAACATAGGACGCTTCCTAAAGCCAGCTTGAAACCTCCCATTGCCCTACTCAGAAGCTTATCTGTTTAATAAGCCTAATGGCCCCTGGTGATCTGGTCTCATCTACCCTCCAGCCTCACTGCTGGTCACACCCCCTTCACACCCTGAGCTCCCACGACATTAAACTACTTGCAGTTCTTTGAATGTGGCCTGCTCCATAACATCTTTGTGAATTTGCATCTGTTTTTTTCTCTCTACCTAGAATGCCATTCAGTCATTTATTCAATAAATCGCTGGTTCACTCACCCAGCTAGCAAATATCTCCCGAACACCTGCTGTGCAGAGACGAATAACATATGGTCCCTGACCCAAGGAACTCAGTGTCTGGTGCAGGACAGTAGACTATAAGATCCACTAATCTGTACTCCACAAGAGGAAAGGCCATACTAGTACCCAACACAGGGCCTCCTAAACCATTCTTAGAAGAGCTCAGGGATAAGTATATAAATATTAAATACTTATACTGATGCTGAATAAATAAGTACATAAGTATTAACAAAGGATTTCTTCTCATATCTGCCATCTCATTTAACTTTCACAATGAACCTGTGAAGTTGGGACTGATTCATGCCATCTTAGATGTGAGCAAGTAGTAACTGGCCCATGGTTTCTTAGCTACTGAAAGCAAGGAAAACCAGGACTCAAATTAGCCACAATAAGAGATTTGGTGAGACATGACTATTTTCTCACAGTGGGACAGATCAGCAGAGAGGAACCTGAGATGTTAGACCTGGCCCCGTGCTAGGTCCTGGGATGTAGACTTAAGAATTAATTAAACTGAGCCCCAAGGAAAAGTAGGAGTTAAATGCATGGAGAAGCCACCTAGGCAGATGGGCCAGCATGAACAAAGGCCCAAAGGGTGTGAAATAATGTGAAGTCTTCAGAGAACTTGGAGTCTCTAGAAGCATAGGCATAATGGGCAGAGCAGCAAGTGATGAGTGAGGCAGAAGAGCTAAGTCGGAGCCAGAGGTCAGGCAAGGCCTCGGTGGCCATGCTAAGCACAATGGATTCCATGATCAGGGCAGTGCAGGGCTGTTACAGGCCTTTATCCGAGGGGAAGACTTGGCAAAAGTTGTGTTTTAAAAAGATCTTATAGCCTGCACAATAGGGATTGAATTGGAGGTTCCAAGATACTGGGAGCAGGGACACCAGAGAAAATGCTGGTGGAGTGACTTCAAAATAGCTCAGCTGGCTGTGTGCAGTGGCTCATGTCTGTGATGCCAGCACTTTGGGAGGCCGAGGTGGGCAGATTTCCTGAGCTCAGGAGTTCAAGACCAGCCTGGGCAACATGGTGAGAACCCGTCTCTACTAAAAATACAAAAAATTAGCCGGGCGTGGTAGCACAAGCCTGTAGTCCCAGCTGCTTGGGAGGCTGAGGCAAGAGAATCACTTGAATCCAGGAGGCAGAGGTTGCAGTGAGCCAGGATCATGCACTCCAGCCTGGGCGACAGAGCAAGACTCTACCTCCAAAAAACAAAACAAAACAAAATAGCTAGGAACAGTGGCATGCGCCTACAGTCGCAGCTATTCAGGAGGCTGAGGCCAGAGGACCGCTTGAATCCATGAGTTTGAGACCAGCCTGGGCAACAAAGCGAGACCCCACCTCGACAACAACAAAAGAAAGAGAGATTATAAGACCTGAGCTGGGAAATGCACTGGGACATGAAAGAAACAAGATTTGGTGACTGATTGGATGTAGATGAGGCAAAAGAAAATTGAGGCAACCAGGAGAGCTTTCTAACTTGGGTAGTGTCATTTGCTGTGTGAAAGAGAACAAAAGAGACAGTCATGGGGACAGAGGGGCCAGAAGAAGGGGAATGGTGGTAAAAGCAGCAACTGCTCTGGAAATAATTATTATACTTTATTTATTGTATTTAAATTTAATAGAGGCCATTACTGTCTCAGTCAGGCCTCTCCCACAGAGCCCAGAAGCAGAATCTAGCACTATCCGTCCCCTGTGTCTGCTTCCCTGGCCCTTTGGGCCTCTTTTATTCCAGTTATTAAACAGAGAGAATACCCATTCCATAATTTAACACAATGACTGGATAGCATCCTGTTATCGGAGTATTAGTTTAAAACTTAATCAAGGTTTTAATGAGGAGCCAGAGGAACCTCAAATCAACCCTCCACCAAACCAACATGGGGCCCCCTCTATAGCCCTAATCTGCTCACTTCCAAGGATGGGGAGACCACCTTCTCTAGGGCAGACCACCTTGCCTTGGGATAACCCTTATTGTTAGTAAAGTCCTCTGCTAAAATCTGCCTGTTTGTAGCTTCCACCCTCTGGTCCTAGTTCTTCATCATTATATTATTCGTTCATTCATTGCACAAAGATGTGTTGATCACTTAGTATGTGCCAAGCATTGTACTAAGCACAGAGTACACAAACGTGAACTAAACAGGCAGAACCTCTGCTCAGACAGAAATTAGGAATCTGCAGAGAAGAGACAAACAATAAGTACACAAATTATCTATGATAATTTCAGATGGTGATAACCATATTTAAGGAAATATGCCGAAGAGATGATTATCTTAGGATGATTAAACAGGGACAGCCTCTCTGAGGAAGTGACATTTTAGTTGAGACCTGATGGATGAAAAAGAATCAATCCATTTTAGAGATGATTTAGGAAATTAAGATGCAGAGAGAACAAGTGGTTTTCCCAGGGCAAGACAACGGGTAAACAACTAACTAGAACCTTCCCCCCTTGGCTGGGCACAGTGGCTCATGCCTGTAATCCCAGCATTTTGGGAGGCCGAGGTGGGAGGATCTCTTGAGCTCACGAGTTCGAGACCAGCCAGAACAACATGGTGAAACCTCATCTCTATTAAAAATACAAAAATTAGCCTGGCATGGTGGCGTGCATCTGTAGTCCCAGCTACGTGGGAGGCTGAGGCACGAGAATCACTTGAACCCAAGAGACAGAGGTTGCAGTGAGCCTAGATTGTGCCACTGCACTCCAGCCTGGGTGACAGAGCTAGACTCCATCTTAAAAAAAAAAATTGTGCTCACCCTAGGCACAAAGTTCTTCCTTGGTCTCACATCATCCACCACTGACCAGACCCCTTTCTGGATGACCTCTGTTAAATGAGGGAATTGAATTAAAATAAGTATAATCGTCGGGGTGCGGTGGCTTCCATCTGTAATCCCAGCACTTTGGGAGGTCAAAGTGGGCAGATTGCTTGAATCCAGGAGTTCAAGACCAGTCTGGGCAACATGACGAAACCCCATGTTGACTAAAAATAAAAAAAATTAGCCAGGCTTGGTGGCACGTACCTAGAGTCCCAACTACTCAGGAGGCTGAGGTGGGAGGTTAACTTGAGCCCAGGAGGTCGAGACTGCAGTGAGCCCTGATTGTGCCACTTCACTGCAGCCTGGGCAACAGAGTGAGACCCTATCTCAAATACATAAATACATTAAATTAATTAATTAATATAATATAATAAACTTAAGTTTTGGAAACAGGCAGTTCTGGGTTCAAATCCAACTTTTACCATTCACTAATTATGTGATTGAATTTCTCTAGACCATAGGTTGCTTATCTGTAAAATGAGGATAAGGATTATTTCACTGGCTCATTGAGAGTTAAATTAAAGATGATAATGTATGTAAAATAGGTGGTGCATACTAGACTATTGAATAACATCAGCTACTTTCAGCATGATAACTAAGTACATTATGCTTGCCAATGAGTCCACCTTCAAATATGTGTCCAGGGAATGAAGAACGGTTACCAATGGCTTAGTATCTATAAAACAAGTCAGAGTAGGCCGGGTGCGGTGGCTCATGCCTGTAATCCCTGTGATTTGGAGGCCGAGGCAGGGGGATTGCTTGAGCCCAGGAGTTTGAGACCATCCTGGGCAACATAGCGAAACCCCATCTCTACAAAATACAAAAGTCAGCTGGGTGTGGTGACCTACAGGTGCACCTGTAGTCCCAGCTGTTTAGAAGGCTGAGGTGGGAGGATCACCTGAGCCCAGGGAGGTTGAGGAGTGATTGCACCATTGCACTCCAGCCTGGGTGACAGAGTGAGACCCTCTGTTTCTCAGAAAAACAAAAATAAGACAGATGCCTTTCTAATTTTGGAAGAATGTCTCCTATTTGTCTTTCCTGGAGGGCTTGCTAAGTAAGGGAGGCTGTTAGGCAAGCCTGTGACCTTCGGCAAAGGTAAGTCTCATACTCCCTCTTGTGTCCGAAATTGGAACTGTACTCTCTCTGGACTGACCAGTAACCATGGTGCTGAAATCAACCTGGTTATATGGGCTGAATGGCAGGGAACTAGTGTTTGTTAAGCACCTGCTATATTCCGGGAACCTTCTGAGGTAACTTCCATATATTATCTCATGTCTCATCAACCATTCAACAGAAGAGAAAACTGAAACTCAGCAAGGTTAAATGACTTCTCCAGGTATTCGTGGATAATAAAGTACAAAACAGATCTAAATGGAAAAACTGGAAAAAAGTCAGTGATATTGATTGTACTACAGGATAAAATCCAACCTCCTTAGCAAATATGATTAAATTCTTTTATCTTCAACTTTATTTTCAACCAACTAATCCCCTTGGTCCTTGTGCTCTGGCCACACGGAATGACTTAGAGTTCTCAGAAATTGCTTTAAATCTCAGCATTTTTGCCCAAGCCTTTGTCTCTTTCTTAGGTGACTTCCTCAATACCCCTTCCTAATCTAGAAAATTCCTTCCTACACATCCTGTCATCCCATCCAACTTACTTGGAGATAATTTAATCACCCCTTCCTTTGTACTACTTTTGGACCTCAGACATTATATATATACATATATATTCAATAAATACTTGTGGGATGGCTATATATATTTATATATATATATATACATACACCACATGTATATAATACACACACACACACACACACCAGGTCCTATACACTAGGTTTTGTTTTTTCTTTCTTTCTTTTACAATATCCTTTTTTTTTTTTTAAGACAGAGTTTTGCTTTGTCACCCAGGCTGGAGTGCAGTGGCAAGACCTTGGCAGCCGGGCATGGTGGCTCACGCCTGTAATCCCAGCACTTTGGGAGTCTGAGGCGGGTGGATCATGAGGCCAGGAGATCGAGACCATCCTGGCTAACATGGTGAAACCCCATCTCTACTAAAAATACAAAAAAAATTAGCCAGGCGTGGTGGCGGGTGCCTGTAGTCCCAGCTACTCAGGAAGCTGAGGCAGGAGAATGGCGTGAACCTGGGAGGTGGATCTTGCAGTGAGCTGAGATCACGCCACTGCACTCCAGCCTGGGTGACTGAGCAAGACTCTGTCTCAAAAAAAAAAAAAAAGACCTTGGCTCACTGCAACCCCTCTGCCTCCAGCGTTCAAGTGATTCTCCTGCCTCAGCCTCCCAAGTAGCTGGGGTTATAGGTGCACACTGCCATGCCGAGCTAATTTTTGTATTTTTAGTAGAGACGGGGTTTCACCATGTTGGCCAGGCTGGTATCGAACTCCTGACCTCAGGTGATCCACCCGCCTCAGCTTCCCAAAGTGCTAGGATTACAGGTGTGAACCACCGAGCCTGGCCTCTTTCACAATATCTTCATGACATTCAATATACTAGGTTTTGAAGGCATATCAGTGAACAAGAAGACAGATAAAAGCGCCATCCCGATGGTGGATCTTACACTGAAAGTGTCTAGGCAACAAATGCTGATGGTTTAGACCATGGTAGTAATGATGGGGGTGAAAAGGAGTGAATTCATTTGCTAGGGCTGCCATAACTAAGTAACACAGACAGGGTAGCTTAAACAACAAAAATTTGTTTTCTAAGTCTGGAGGCTAGAAGTCTGAGAACATGATTGGTTTCTTCTGAGGCCTCTCTCCTTGGCTTGTAGATGGCCTACTTCTCCCTGTGTCTTCCAGTGGTCTTCCCTCCGTGTTCAACTATGTCCCAACCTCCTCTTCTGATAAGGATGCTTGTGCTATTGCATTAGGGCCCACCTATATGACTTCATTTTAACGTCATTACCTCTTTAAAGACCTCATCTCCAAATGCAGTCACATTCTGAAGTACTTGGATTAGGACTTTAAAATATGAATGGGGTGGCTGGGCATGGTGGCTATGCCTGTAATCCTAGCGTTTTGGGAGGCTGAGGTGGGTGGATCATCTGAGATCAGAAGTTCAAGACCAGCCTGGCCAACATGGTGAAACCCCATTTCTAATAAAAATACAAAAATTAGC
Source organism: Homo sapiens (assembly GCF_000001405.40). NCBI lineage: Eukaryota > Metazoa > Chordata > Mammalia > Primates > Hominidae > Homo > Homo sapiens. The sequence continues at coordinate 52,004,495 of NC_000001.11, forward strand.
TGGGCGTGGTGGCATGCACCTGTACTCCCAGCTACTCAGGAGGCTGAGGCATGAGAATTGCTTGAACCCGGGAGGCGGAGGTTGCAGTGAGCCAAGATTGCGCCACTGCACTCCAGCCTGGCCAACAGAGCGAGACTCTGTCTCAAAAAAATAATAATAATAAAATACGAATGGGGAATGGACACCATGTATAACAAGGAGTGATTTTTTTTTTTTTTTGAGATAGATTTTTGCTCTGTCACCCAGGCCAGAGTGCAATGGCGTTATCTCGGCACACTGCAAGCTCCGCCTCCCAGGTTCACGCCATTCTACTGCCTCAGCCTCCCGAGTGGCTGGGACTACAGGCGCCCACCACCACGCCCGGCTAATTTTTTGTATTTTTAGTAGAGACGGGGTTTCACCGTGTTAGCCAGGATAGTCTCGATCTCCTGACCTCGTGATCTGCCCTCCTCGGCCTCCCAAAGTGCTGGGATTACAGGCGTGAGCCACCGCGCCCGGCCTCACTTTTCAATATGTATACACTACACTTTAAATACGACAGAAATTTGATACCCAGATTATCCACTTAAAACTAATACATGCACAAGTCCTTGTTAATAGCTGGAAATTTTACATCATTTCGTTTCCCTTTGAACTTGTATTTCTTTCACTCCACCTGAGCCAGAAATTAAAAAATAATAAGTGCTGCATTTATTCACTCCAAGAAAAGTAAAAGCTAAGGCCCAGAATGTGGCAAGGCAAGGGTTAAAAAAGAAAAGAAGAAGGCAGGGCATGGTAGCTCACGCCTGTAATCCCAGCACTTTGGAAGGCCGAGGTGGGTGGATCATGAGGTCAGGAGATCGAGACCATTCTGGCCAACATGGTGAAACCCTGTCTCTACTAAAAATACAAAAACTTAGCTGAGTGTGGTGGTGTGTGCCTGTAATCCCAGCTACTCGGGAGGCTGAGGTGGGAGAATCCCTTGAACCAAGGAGTCAGAGGTTGCAGTGAGCCGAGATCATGCCATTGCACTCCAGTCTGGTGACAGAGCAAGATTCTGTCTCAAAAAAAAGAAAAAGAAAAGAAGAACAAGTTTTCCTCTGCTTAGCAGCTCACTTCAAGGACAGTTATAAGATAACACTCAGAAAAACCAAGGCCAAAGGAATGGGCTCCAGACACCACCCCCTCCCTCCAGAGCAAGGTTGACGGAAAAAAAAAGAGAGGAAGACAAATTCCTTTACTGTTACTCCTTTCCCTGGCTTCTTAAGCATGACTATGTTTTACAAATGTCTGTATTTAGCCAGTTCTTGTTTTTCTTTCGACGCAGCTACAAGGCCACCAGCTATGCAAGGCCACAAGTTATGCACTGTATGATTAACTGCCTTTGTTTTGCTTTTGTAAGCCTGCTTATAAAAACCCTGCTCTGTCTTTGTTCAAGGCTCAGGTTTTTGGATGTGAATCCACTGAGCTGGTGTGTACCTTAAAATAAATATCCTCCTGGTTTCCCATATCAGTCTCTCTGTTCCTCAGTTTACCGCAACACACCCACAGAATCTTAACCTAATTGTGGAGTCCGAATTAGGGAAAAGGCGTTAGGCTGGCGGAGCAGGGAAAAGCAAAAAGACAAGGCAGATAAGCCCTAAGTCTGCCTTTCTTCATGGTCCAGGACACATAGCCCTCCTGTGCAGATAACTCACATAATCCACAATCTTCCTGTGCCCACTTTGTAACCACCCAATGGGTTGACCTTGCCCGCTGCCTAGACAGAGCTTGTGGGGAAAAGCAAGAGAGATCAGATTGTTACTGTGTGTGTGTAGAAAGAAGTAGACATAGGAGACTCCATTTTGTTCTGTACTAAGAAAAATTCTTCTGCCTTGAGATTCTGTTAATCTATAACCTTACCCCCAACCCCGTGCTCTCTGAAACATGTGCTGTGTCAACTCAGAGTTGAATGGATTAAGGGCGGTGCAAGATGTGCTTTGTTAAACAGATGCTTAAGGCAGCATGCTCCTTAAGAGTCATCACCACTCCCTAATCTCAAGTACCCAGGGACACAAAAACTGCGGAAGCCCGCAGGGACCTCTGCCTAGGAAAGCCAGGTATTGTCCAAGGTTTCTCCCCATGTGATAGTCTGAAATATGGCCTCGTGGGAAGGGAAAGACCTGACCGTCCCCCAGCCCGACACCCGTAAAGGGTCTGTGCTGAGGAGGATTAGTAAAAGAGGAAGGAATGCCTCTTGCAGTTCAGACAAGAGGAAGGCATCTGTCTCCTGCCGGTCCCTGGGCAATGGAATGTCTCGGTATAAAACCCGATTGTATGCTCCATCTACTGAGATAGGGAAAAGCCGCCTTAGGGCTGGAGGTGGGACCTGCGGGCAGCAATACTGCTTTGTAAAGCATTGAGATGTTTATGTGTATGCATATCTAAAAGCACAGCACTTAATCCTTTACATTGTGTATGATGCAAAGACCTTTGTTCACGTGTTTGTCTGCTGACCCTCTCCCCACAATTGTCTTGTGACCCTGACACATCCCCCTCTTCGAGAAACACCCACGAATGATCAATAAATACTAAGGGAACTCAGAGGCTGGCGGGATCCTCCATATGCTGAACGCTGGTTCCCCGGGTCCCCTTATTTCTTTCTCTATACTTTGTCTCTGTGTCTTTTTCTTTCCTAAGTCTCTCGTTCCACCTTACGAGAAACACCCACAGGTGTGGAGGGGCAACCCACCCCTACAAGAGCTGATTTATCAAGAAAGGGGAATTGCAATAGAGAAAGAGTAATTCATGTACAGCCATCTGTACAGGAGACTGGAGTTTTATTATTACTCAAATCAGTCTCCCCAAGCATTCTGGGATCAGAATTTTTAAGGATAATTTGGAGGGTGGGGGAGGCCAGTGAGTTGGGACTGCTGATTGGCTTGGTTGGAGATGAAATCATAGGTGGTCAAAGCTGTCTTCTTTTGCTGAGTCAGTTCCTGGGTGGGGACCTCAAGACCAGATTAGCCATTTTATCGATCTGGGTGGTGCCAGCTGATCCATCAAGTGCAGGGTCTGCAAAATATCTCAAGCACTGATGTGAGGTTTTATAATAATGATGTTATCCCCAGGGGCAATTTGGGGAGGGTCAGAATCTTATAGCCTCCAGCTGCATGACTCCACCTAAACCATAATTTCTAATCCTTTGACTACTTTGTTAGTCCTACAAAGGCAGTCTAGTCCCCAAGGAAGAGGGGGTTTGTTTTGGAAAAGGGCTGTAATCGTCTTTGTTTCAAAGTTAAACTATAAACTAAGTTCCTCCAAAGTTAGTTCGGGCATACACCCAGGAATGAACAAGGACAGCTTGGAAGTTAGATGCAAGAGGGAGTTGGCTAGGTCAGATTCCTTTCACTGTCTCAGTTACAATTCTGCAATGGCAGTTTCAAAAATGTTAAAAACTTGGCCAGGCACGTGGCTCATACATATAATCCCAGTACTTTGGGAAGCCAAGGCGGGTGGATCACCTGAGGTCAGGATTGAGCCAAGATCATGCCATTGCACTCCAGCCTGGGTAACAAGACAGAAACTCTGTCTCAAAAAAAAAAAAAAAATTAAAAACATAACTCTCAAACAGATTCTGAACACATACCAACATTTTAATTAATTCATTAACAAAGACCAGCAAGAAGACAAACCAATTCAAAGGATACAAAAACTTGCATACATACATATTGTCAGTGACAAAAAGGAATACTAAAGTAAGATTGCTAAATCAGATATAAAACTGGTTAATGACTTACAGTCAATAAAGTCATAACATTTGAGATTATCTTCCCCTTAGGAAAGAAATCATTCACATATAATTAGTGTCCTATAAATTAAAATTCAACTCTATAAAGTTGTAAAATGTCTGGATCGTAATTAACAATAAAAAAAAAAAACTCTTGGTGTCAGGTAACTTTAGACAGGCTTGTTACAAAAATGCTCTACAATTACATTAAAAGTTTTGAACTCCTATGCAAGGTGGTTCACACCTATAATCCCAGCACTTTGGGAGGCCGAAGCTGGTGGGTTGCTTGAGCTCAGGAGTTCAAGACCGTCCTGGGCAACATGATGAAATACTAAAGAAATATATGACAGGCAGGACGTGGTGGCTCACACCTGTAAACTCAGCACTTTGGGAGGCCGAGGCGAGTGGATCATGAGGTCAGGAGTTCAAGACCAGCCTGGCCAACATGGTGAAACCCCATCTCCACAAAAAAAAATACAAAAATTAGCTGGGCTAGTGGCATGCACCTGTAGTCCCAGCTACTTGGGAGGCTGAGGTGGGAGGATAGCATAAGCCTATGAGGTCGATCACAGGCTACAGTGAGCTGTGATCAAGCCACTGCATTCAAGCTTGGGCAAGAGAGTGAGACCCTGTCTCAACAAAACAAAACAAAACAAAACAACAACAACAAAGTTTTGAATGCTTTTTCTTAACAGTAATTACTTCTAGAGATATTAGTGCTGAGAAACAATCTTCACATAAAAAGTACCTGAGAGGCTGGGCGTAGTGGCTCCCACCTATAATCCCAGCACTTTGGGAGGCAAGAGGATTGCTTGAGGCCAAGTGTTCAATACCAGCCTGGGCAATATAGAGACACTGCCTCTATCAAAAAAAAAAGTAGCCAGGTATGGTGGCACATGCCTGTAGTCCTAGCTACTCAGGAGGTTGAGGTGATAGGATTGCTTGAGACCAGGATTCCAGCGTTACAGTGAGCTATGATCAGGTCACTGTGAATCGGCTACGTTTTGTCTGGGGTATATACCCTGGGGTTCACTGTCGTGTGCCAGGAAAATTTAGGACACAGACACAAGGAGTTTAAGAGCAGAGGTTTAAAAGGAAGAAAAGAAAGAGAAACAGCTTCCTCTACAGAGGAAGGAGTCTCCAAGTGGCAAAGACCCAGGGGTGGTGAATACACCAATTTTTTTTTTTTCTTTTTTGAGAGGAATCTCACTCTGTGGCCCAGGCTGGAGTGCAGTGGCTCCATCTCGACCCACTGCGACCTCCAGCTACTGGGTTCAAGCAATTCTCCTGTCTCAGCCTCCCGAGTAGCTGGGACTACAGGTGCCCACCATCACATCCGGCTAATTTTTTTATTTTTAGTAGAGACAGGGTTTCACCATATTGGTAATGCTGGTCTTGAACTTCTGACCTCAGATGATCCACCTGCCTCGGCCTCCCAAAGTGCTGGGATTTCAGGCGTGAGCCACCGAGCCCTGCCAGATGCCCCAAATGTAATAGTTAGATTTGAGGAAGTGGTGTCCGATTTACATAGGCCTCACAGATTGGTTCCATCAGGTATGATGGCAGGGAAGGCTGGTTGCCTAACCCTAATCTTATTATGCAAATAGACTTTCCAGTTGATCCGCGCCATCTTGTCTGCTTCTTACTGTACTGTGGCTGGCAGAAAAGGGGAGATGGAGCCGCCATCTTGAACATGTCTAGTTCCTAGTTCCTGCCAGCGTTCCCCTGTGCAAGCTCCCAGCTTGCTTGTCTGTGTCTGCGGCTGGATTTTACAGGCTGCTCTTTGTTAGAAAATGATTTGGGGCTGCTTTTTATTAAAAAGAAAATCCTGACTGCTTGAACCTGGGAGGCGGAGGTTGCAGTGAGCTGAGGTCGTGCCACTGCACTCCAGCCTGGGTGACAGAGTGAGACTCTGTCTCCAAAAAATAAAAAAGAGGCTGGGAGCGGTGGCTCACGCCTGTAATCCCAACACTTTGGGAGGCCGAGGCAGGCAGATCACAAGGTCAGGAGATCGAGACCATCCTGGCTAAAACAGTAAAACCCCGTCTCTACTAAAAATACAAAAAATTAGCCATGTGTGGTGGACGCCTGTAGTCCCAGCTACACGGGAGGCTGAGGCAGGAGAATGGCGTGAACCCATGAGGCGGAGCTTGCAGTGAGCCGAGATTGCGTCACTGCACTCCAGCCTGGGGGACAGAGCGAGACTCCGTCTCAAAAAAAAAAAAAAAAAAAAAAAAAAAAAGAAAAGAAAAGCCTTACTAAGGACTCCCATTCCCTTACTAGCTGCCTAAGTAATTTATTCTTAACTCCTGTATCAACTGTACTTCAGCCTAGGCAACAAAGTGAGATTCTGTATCTAAAAATAATTATATGGGAATAGAAAGCGTTTCTTCATTGCAATGGCATTAAATTCTTTGAACTCTGAGTTATATGCCCAAAAATCACAGCAATCTAATATCAAAAAAACTTTGAGACAAGGCCTCACTTTGTCTGCCCTGCTGTAGAGCAGTGGCACAATCTCGGCTCACTACAACCTCCACCTCTGGGTTCAAGCGATTCTCAGTCTCCGGAGTAGCTGGGACAACAGGCATGTGCCACCACGCCTGGCTAATATTTGTATTTTTATAAGAGACGGGGTTTCACCATGCTGGTCAGGCTGGTCTCGAACTCCTGTCCTGAAGTGATCCACCCACCTTGGCCTCCCAAAGTGCTGGGATTACAGGTGTGAGCCACCCTGCCCAGCCAAATGGATCAGTTTCTAAATCAGACTTTATTTCAGAAATAATTCATTTTGGAGAAAATTGGAATATGTGTTTTAAAATCAAATGTAAAGCTGGGCATAGTGGTTTATGCTTGTAATCCCAGCACTTCAGGAGGCTGGGGCTGGAGGATTGCCTGAGTCCAGGAGCTCGAGACCAGCCCGGGCATCATGGTGAGAGTACTTGTACTTATTGGCCTTATGTGTCTCTCCAGCCTGACTCCATGCTGTTAGCCTTTCCTCACCTCTTATTCTTCCTATTTATTTATTTATTCTGAGTCTGCTTGCTAGAGAACTCTTATTATTATTGTTAGACCAGGTCTCACTCTGTCAGCCAGGCTAGACTGCAGTGGCACCATCTCAGCTCACTGCAACCTCCGGCTCCTGGGCTCAAGTGATCCTCCCACCTCAGTCCCTTGAGTAGAGGGGACCACAGGTAGCTCCGCCACACCCCACTCTGTTTTGTAGAGACGGGGTTTTGCCGTGTTGCCCAGGCTGGTCTCGAATGCTCGTATTCTTTTTTTCAGCCTCTACCGCTCCACTCCAGCTTCTGCTTTCACAATTCCACCCAAATGGCTCCTCTTAGATAAATCCTCTTAATAGGAGGAGATATAGGATTTGGAAGTGAGAGAGGGAAGTTTGGTTGATAAAATCATTTTTGAAATTTGTCTTTCTAATTTATACTTGCATGGATAATCCTTTATTCAACTCCCCAGGCCTATTGGGTACATGTGCCAATAAATATCCTGATAGGCAGCTGGGCAAACTAATGTATTTTTGTACGTTGTTTTAGAACCCCTAAAGGACCAAAAAAAAAAAAAGAAAAAGAAAAAAAAAGAAATAGATTCTGGTAGTCCTAACAGTGATCTTTCTCTCTCTTGCAGTGTTCCTTATCCAATAAGTAAATAGCACCACCCTCTGCTGTTTTACATGCCAGAAACCTGAGACCTGTCTTTGACTTCTTCTAACCTCTCTCCTTAATCATCAGTTATTGTTTATTTTTTCTCTTAAATATTTTAAAAATTCACCTACTCCAGGCCGGCCACGGTAGTTCACACCTGTAATCCCAGCACTTTGGGAGGCCAAGGCAGGCAGATCACGAGGTCAGGAGATAGAGACCATCCTGGCCAACATGGTAAAACCCTGTCTTTACTAAAATACAAAAAATTAGCCAGGCATGGTGGTGCATGCCTATAGTCCCAGCTACTCGGGAGGCTGAGGCAGGGGAATCACTTGAACCAGGGAGGCAGAGATTGCAGTGAGCTGAGATCATGCCTCCAGCCTGGTGACAGAGTGAGACTCTGTCTTAAAACAAACAAACAAACAAACAAAAAATCAAATATATTGAGGTATAAATTACACACAATAAATATTCACATGTCGGCCAGACGCGGTGGTTCACGCCTGTAATTCCAGCACTTTGGGAGGCAGAGGCGGGTGGATCACCTGAGGTCAGGAGTTCGAGACAAGCCTGGCCAACATGGCGAAACCCCGTCTCTACTAAAAGTACAAAAATTAGCCAGGCGTGGTGGCGCATGCCTGTAATCCCAGCTACTCAGGAGGCTGAGGCAGGAGGATAGCTTGAACCCAGGAGGCAGAGGTTGCAGTGAGCCTAGATGGTGCCACTGCACTCCAGCCTGGGCAACAGAGCAAGACTCAATCTCAAAAAAAAAAAAAAAATTCACATGTCTAGTTTATGATTCAATGTATTTTGACAAATATAAACAACTGTGTAACCACCACAATCAACATTTCCATCACCACAGAATGTTCCTTCTGGTGCCTTTGCAGTCAAACCCTTCTCACCCCCATCCCCAATGCCACGTAACCACTGATCTGCTTTCTCCTGCTATAGTTAAGCTTTGCCTGTTCCAAAACTTTATATAAATATACCATTTTTTTGGCCTGTCTTTTCACTCAATATGCTTCTGAAATTCATCCATGTTGTTGCATGTTATCAGTAGTGTGTTCTTTTTCTTTTCTTTTCTTTTTTTTTTTTTTTCCGAGATGGAGTCTTGCTCTGTCACCCAGGCTGGAGTGCAGTGATGCAATCTCGGCTCACTGCAACCTCTGCCCTCCACCTTCCAGTTCCGGTGATTCTTCTGCCTCAGCCTCCCAAGTAGCTGGGACTACAGGTGCACACCACCACACCCAGTTAATTTTTTTTTTTTTTTTTGAGACGGAGTCTCGCTGTGTCGCCCAGGCTGGAGCACAGTGGCGCAATCTTAGCTCACTGCAAGCTCTGCCTCCTGGGTTCATGCCATTCTCCTGCCTCAGCCTCCCGAGTACCTGGGACTACAGGTGCCTCCCACAACGCCCGGCTAATTTTTTTTGTATTTTTTAGTGAGACAGGGTTTCACTGTGTTAGCCAGGATGGTCTCGATGTCCTGACCTCGTGATCCACCCACCTTGGGCTCCCAAAGTGCTGGGATTATAGGCGTGAGTCACCGTGCCTGGCCAGTTTGTTCTGTTTCATTCTGAGTGGTACCCTTTTGTATGAATATACCAAATGTTATCCATTTATTTGTTGATAGGCATTGAGGATGAATCCAGTTTTTTGGATATTATGAATAAAGTTGCCATAAACATACTTTTTCACATTTTATTTGTTAAGATGGGTCCCACTGTCACCCAAGCTGGGCTGCAGTGGCATGATCACAGCTCATGACAGCCTCAAACTTCTGGGCTCAAGTGATTCTTCTGCCCCAACCTCCCAAGTACCAGGGACTGTAAGTGCACTACCCTATGCCTGGCAATTTTTTGTAGGGAAAGGGTCTCATTATGTTGCCTAGGTTGGTCTCAAACTCCTGGCCTCAAGTGATCCTCCCACCTCGGCCTCCCAAAGTGCTAAGATTACAGGCATGAACCACCACACCTGCCCATGAATATTTTTGATAAGCTTGTGTGTGGGTGTGTGTATGTGTGTGTGTGTTGTGTTCCTATGTTTCATATAATCCATATAGTCATATAATTCTGGGATTTGTGGGTTACATAGTAAGTGTATATTTAGCTTTATTAAATATTGCAAACTGTTTCCAAAGTAGTACCATTTTACACTCTTAGTAGCAATATATAAGAGTTCCAGTTGTCCCACATCCTCTCTGACACTTAGTATCATCAGTTTTTTCTTAATTTTAGCAATTCTGGCAGTTGGGAAATGGTATCTCATCATAGTTTTAATCTGAATTTCTCTGATACCTAATAGTCACACATTTTCATGTGCTTTTTGGCCATTCATATGTCTTCTTTTGGGAAATGTCTGTTCAAGTCTTTGCCCAGAAGCAACATTGTAACTCTATTCTTCATTTTCCAATGCAAATAAATACGTTAACATAACTCCCTATGACAACTATTTTAGTTCCAAATTCTAATCCTAAAATGTTCCAAATTTTAATCCTAAAATATTCCAAATTCTAATTCAAGATATTCCAAATTCCAGTTCTAAGAGGTGAAGGCTTGTCATGAATTTCCCACCTGGATGACTTCAAAACTTTACCAATGCTCCTCAGAACTCTTCCTCAGGAGAAGTGCCTTCTTTAATAATACTTGAGGATTGGAGGAAGCAAAATTTCATCACTGCCAGTTTATTATGTCTAAATTCAAAATATCATCAAACTGTGCAAACTGTCCCATTGCTCATGTCAGGTTTTGCTCTTCACAGAACCATGTTTGGACAGAACTATGTACAAGACAAAAAGCCTCTAATCAAGAAAGTTTAGTCACATTTTATTTTATTTTATTTTATTTTATTTTATTTTATTTTGAGACAGGGTCTCGCTCTGTTGTCCAGGCTGGAGTGCAGTGGCGCAATCTTGGCTCACTGCAACCCCGCTTCCCAGGTTCAAGCGATTCTCCTAAGTCAGCCTCCCAAGTAGCTGGGATTACAGGCACACGCCACCATGCCCAGCTAATTTTTGAATTTTTAGTAGAGGTGGGGTTTCACCATGTTGGCCAGGCTGGTCTCTAATTCCTTACCTCAGGTGCTCCTCCCACCTTGACCTCCCAAAGTGCTGGGATTACAGGCATGAGCCACCTCACTGGGCCGCTTAGTCCCATTTTAGGTTTCCTTTGTTTGGCTTTTACAAAATAGGACAATGTAACATATTAAAATTCAGGGTGAGTAAGAGGTATGCCTTTTTTTCCCCATAGGATGGGGAAAGGTGAATAGTGACAAAGAAGGTGGGAATGAACTATCTTGATCAGTGATCCCCAACCTTTTGGGCACCAGGGACCAGTTTTGTGAAAGAGTTTTTCCATGGACTGAGGCAGCAGGGTTGGTTTTGGGATGAAACTGCTCCACCTCAGATCATCAAGCATTAGTTAGATTCTCATAAGGAGCACACAACCTAGATCCCTTGCAGGCACAGTTGACAGTAGGATTCGCTTTCCTATGAGAATCTAATGCCGCCACTGATCTGACAGAAGGCAGAGCTTGGGCAGTAATGCTTGCTTGCCCACCACTCACCTCCTGCTGTGTGGCCCAGTTCCTAACAGGCCATGGACAGGTACCAGCATGCAGCCCAGGGTCTGGGGACTCTTGATCTTGCTGACATTTCCTGGGAAATCACCTTTATTATGGTGAAATATGCATAAAATTTACTGTTGTAACCATTTCTAAATGTACAGTTCAGTGGTGTTAAGTACATTCACATTATTTGGCGACCATCACCACCATCCCTTTCCAGAAATTTTTCATTTTCCAAAACTGAAACTCTGTATCCATTAAACACTAACTCCCCATTCACCCTCCCACCAACCCCTAGCAACCACCATTCTACTTTCTGTCTCTAGGAATTTGACTATTTTAGGTAGCTCATGTCGGTGGAATCATATAATATTTGTTCTTTTGTGCTTGACTTATTTCACTTGGAACATCTTTAAGGTTCATCCATGTTGTAGCACATGTCAGAATTTCCTTTCTTTTTAAGGCTAATAATATTTCGTTGCATGTACAAACCACATTTTTATTTTTATTTATTTTTTATTGAGACGGGTTTTCACTATGTTGCCCAGGCTGATCTGGAACTCCTGGGCTCAAGCGATCCTCTCTTCAGCCTCCCAAAGTGCTGGGATTACAGGCGTGAGCCACCTTGCCCAGTCTGTACATAACACCTTTTGTTTACCAATTCATTTCTCAGTGGCCACTTGGTTTACTTCCACTTTTTGGCTGATGCGAATAATGCTGCTATGAACACAGGTTTTACAAATAATCTGTTCAAGATTCTGTTTTCAGTTCTTCCGGGTATATACCTAGAGGGGGAATTGCTTAATCACATGATAATTTTAATTTTTTGAGGAATCCTAGGAAATCAGTTTTAGGAAGATGAAGATCTAGAAAAAAATTCACTAAAGTTTCTATGTCCATGTATTCCATGTAAAGTCTTTATGTACCCCAGATTGAAAACTCCTGGGCTGAGTGCGGTGGCTCACACCAGTAATCCCAGCACTTTAGGAGGCCAAGGTGGGTGGATCACCTGAGGTCAGGAGCAAGACCAGCCTGGCCAACATGGTGAAACCCTGTCTCTACTAAAAATACAAAAATTATCCAGGTGTAGTGGCACATGCCTATAATCCCAGCTACTCAGGAGGCTGAGGCAAGAGAACTGCCTGATCCCAGGAGGCAGAGGTTGCAGTGAGCTGAGATCACACCAGTGCACTCCAGCCTGGGTGACAGTGTAAGACTTCGTCTCAAAAAAAAAAAAAGAAAAGAAAAAAGAAAAAGAAAACTCCTATACCCCGGCCTGGGCAACATGGTGAAACCCCATCTCTACAAAAAATTAAAAAATTAGCTGGGCATGGTGGCTGGTACCTGTGGGCCTAGCTATTTAGGAGGCTGAGATGGGAGGATTGCTTGAGCTTGGGAGGTGGAGGTTGCAGTAAGCCAAGATTGCACCCCTGCCCTCCAGCCTGGGTGACAGGGCAAGATCCCATCTAAAAAAAATAAAAAATAAAAAATAAAAAATGCCAGGCGCAGTGGCACACACCTGTAATCCCAGCACTTCGGGAGGCCGAAGCGGGTGGATCACTTGAGGTCAGGAGTTCAAGATCAGCCTGGACAACATGGTGAAACCCCATCCCTACAAAAAATACAAAAATTAGCCGGGTGTGGTGGCACACACCTATAATCCCAGGTAATGGGGAGGCTGAGGAACAAGAATTGCTTGAACCCAGGAGGCGGAGGTTGCAGTGAGGCGAGATCGCACCACTGCACGCACTCCATCCTGGGCGACAGAGCGATACTCTGTCTCAAAAAAAAAAAAGAAAAAAAGAAAACAGAAAGAAAGAAAAAGAAAGAAGGGAAGGAAAGAGGGAAGGAAGGAAGGAAGGAAGGAAAAGCAAAACAAAGCAAAGCAAGGCTGGGCATGGTGGCTCAAGCCTGTAATCCCAGCACTTTGGGAGGCCGAGACAGGCGGATCACCTGAGGTCAGGAGTTTGAGACCAGCCTGGCCAACATGGTGAAACCCCGTCTCTACTTAAAATACAAAAAATTAGCTGGGTGTGGTGGTATGCACCTGTAATCCCAGGTACTCGGGAGGCTGAGGCAGGAGAATCGCTTGAACCTGGGAGGTGGAGGTTGCAGTGAGCCGAGATCGCACCATTGCACTCCAGACTGGGGGACAAGAGCGAGACTTCATCTCAAAAAAAAAAAAAAGGAAAGAAAGAAAAAATAAAACTCGTTCCAATGAGACACCTCAGGACATAAAGGAAGTAATGTGGTTGGAAAATCATGAATATGGAATCAGACAACGCTGGTTAGAATCCAGTATTTACTTAGTTTAGAACCTGAAGTCTGCTGAGCTTGGTGGCTCACACCTATAATCCCAGCATTTTGGGAGGCTGATGGAGGTGGATCACCTAAAGGTCAGGAGTTTGACACCAGCCTGGCCACCATGGTCTTTACTAAAACCCCATCTTTACTAAAAATACAAAAATTAGGCCGGGCACAATGGCTCATGCCTATAATCCCAGCACTTTGGGAGGCCGAGGAGGGTGGATCACCCTGAGGTCAGGAGTTCGAGACCAGTCTGGCCAACATGGCGAAATCCTGTCCCTACTAAAAGTACAAAAATTAGCTGGGCGTGGTGGGGGGGCTCCTGTAATCCCTGCTACTCAGGAGGCTGAAGCAGGAGAATAGCTTGAACCCAGGAGGCAGAGGTTACAGTGAGCCGAGATCACACCACGGGACTCCAGCCTGGGTGACAAGAGCGAGACTCCATCCCCCCCAAAAAAAAAAAAAAAAAAAAAACAAATTAGATGAGCATGGTGATGGGTGCCTGTAATCCCTGCTGCTTGGGAGGCAGAGGCAGGAGAATCGCTTGAATCCGGGAGGCATTCAATGTTGCGGTGAGCCAAGACCTCGCCATTGCACTCCAGCCTGGGCAATAAGAGCGAAACTCCGTCTCAAACAACAACAACAACAACAACAACAACAAAAGAACCTGGCTAGTCTTTGCCTTCTCTAAAGTTCCCCCTAAAATGACGTTACTAATACCTATCCCACAGGACCACTGATGGTGTTTAGAGAATGGATGAAAAGAACCTAACATAGACCTTGGCAAGTCACCTGAAAGTTTTAGATACACAGGACAGAGGACTAGCTTCTGCCCTCGAGGAGAATGGCCACCTGATGACAGCCCCAGATGTGCAATTGGGTTACTTCAATGTAAAGTGGTCCAGGGCTATGATAGATGTATTGGGGAAAGGATATTTTATCCTCATGAGAAAGATCAGGGAAGACTCTCTGGAAGAAGTGGCTCAAAATGGGTATGAAGGAAGAACAGAAAGAACATATTTTAGGCTGAGGAAACAAGATGAACGAAGATAGAAAAGCATAAAACAGCATGTTGTCAGGAGAACTCAAAGCAATTTGGTGTCACAAGAACACATAATGCAAAAACATAAATGGGAATAAATGAGGTTGAAGAAGTAGGCAGCTTCTTAAAGGCCATGGTAAAGATCTTGACTTTATCCTGTGTCTTGGCTTCCTTATGTTTCAAATTCTTCCTCTGTACTCTGGGAGTACAGTAGTACCTTTATCACAGGGCTGTTAGGAGTACTAAAGTGAAACTAAATGGGATAACATATATAAAGCACTTAGAAGAGTACTTGGCACAGACTGAGGTTCAAATATCTCCTACCATTAATACTATTATCTTAAAGATGGCTGGAAAGGTTTTTTTTTTTTTTTTTTTTTTTTTTTTTTTTGAGATGGAGTTTCACTCTTGTTGCCCAGGCTGGAGTGCAATGGCACAATCTCAGTTCACCACAACCTCCGCCTCCCGGGTTCAAGCGATTCTCCTGCCTCAGCCTCCTGAGTAGCTGGGATTACAGGCATGTGCCACCACATCCGGCTAATTTTGTTGTTTTTGTTTTGTTTTGTTTTTTTGAGACGGAGTCTCGCTCTGTCACCCAGGCTGGAGTGCAGTGGTGCGATCTCGGTTCCCTGCAAGCTCCGCCTCCCGGGTTCACGCCATTTTCCTGCTTCAGCCTCCCGAGTAACTGGGACTACAGGCGCCCACCACCGCGCCTGGCTAATTTTTTTTTTTTTTTTTGTATTTTTAGTAGAGACGGGGTTTCACCGTGGTCTCGATCTCCCGACCTCGTGATCCGCCCGCCTCGGCCTCCCAAAGTGCCGGGATTACAGGCGTGAGTCACCGCGCCCGGCCTAATTTTGTATTTTTAGTAGAGCCGGGGTTTCGCCATGTTGGCCAGGCTGGTCTCGAACTCCCTACCTCAGGTGATTCGCCCACCTTGGCCTCCCAAAGTGCTGGGAGTACAGGCGTGAGCCACTGTGTCCAGCCAGGAAAGGTTTTAAACAGGGGAGTGATATGGATCGATTGCAGGAGGAGGGAATATTAGAGCCAATAGGCAAGTTAAGGGGCTATAGCAATAAATAGTCGAAGAGAGAAAAAGCCTGCCCCGTGCTAAAACAGTGATAGTGTGGACAGAGGAAATTCAGGTATTTAAAAAGTAAAAGAGAGGAGCCATTGTGCTCATTTGAATGTGGGAGGTGAAGGAGCAGGAGTCCTAGGTTAGGACTCCTAGATTAGGTCCTCTAGGTTAGTTTTCTTCCTGAAGTGATCTCCATCCCTCCCTCCTTTTCCAATAACAAAAAGGCCATCACAGCACATTTCCTTTTAAAGTTTTATTAAAGTTTAATGGTACAATATTTTATCTCTTTTTTTGTTAATGCCAGTACAAAAATACAGTTGATGACTTGACAAAATGGCTACACCTAGGGCTTGAAGGTTTGAGTTTCTCCAACAGTAACAAGGGAAAGCATGCTTCCACCTGGAGCCGAGTCCAAGCACACAGCCAGTCCTGCACACGCATGCGTGCAAACAGGGAAGCTCAAGCATGAGAAGAGGAAAGAGG
This sequence comes from Homo sapiens, assembly GCF_000001405.40. Lineage (NCBI taxonomy): Eukaryota > Metazoa > Chordata > Mammalia > Primates > Hominidae > Homo > Homo sapiens. The sequence continues at coordinate 52,020,376 of NC_000001.11, forward strand.
CTGTAGAAATTTGGGAAGAAGCCCACAATTATTCCCAGGAGAAAAAAGGGAAAAAACAGGCTGATATCCTTGGTAGGGGGTAGAATAACTGATTTACACTTAGGATTTATTGTTATTGTTGTTGTTGTTGTTTTTTAATGATAAGCTACTTCTGCAATTTTAACGTTGTAGAAAAGATGCTACTAGTCTCCTTTCACCACTAAGGTGAGTAAAGTGGGAGGAAATGGGAAAAGACTCAAATACTTAAGTGCGAGGAGTAAACATCCAAGTGGCTCAAGTTTTGTGTCAGAAGGTTTCATTCTTTACATTCAATGACAAGTTGACATTTAGGTGAGAGGGAAAAGGAGAAGAAAGTCTGCCACTCTCCGCTGGATCCACAAACATGCAGACCAGCTTCTGTTAGCAGAACTCTTCCACAGTGAGAGCGCTCCTTCCAGTGTAGGTAGGAATGAGGTTTCCTGGTCGGCTTAATTGTTCTAGATGATTCCTCAATATTCCCTTCCCTGCTGCTTTCCTTCCAGAACACTAACTCTGATGAAAGAAGGGGCACATTCATGTTACAATTCATCTTCAAGATGTTTCTTTCTGAAGGCATCACCCGTCAGCCTTTCCTGAGCTTCCTTCATCCCCTGAACAACTGTGAAATAAAGATTGGAGGAAAAAAGTATGAAGTAAGTAATGTTTGACATTTGACAACCAATGTACACTTTTAAATGTTTCAGAAGAAATATGAGAGGAGTACAAGATCTGGACTCAAGATCTAGCTCTGGATTTTGGCCCTGGCAAGTCATTTATCTCTTTGAATTTGTTTCCTCATTTATAAAATGAAATAATGTAACTCACTTCACACAGTATTATAAAAGTTAAATGGGAGAATGGATAATAAAAGTGCTTTATCAACTACGAAGTCATACCAAAATCTTAGCAGTTATTTTGGCTTACCCTCTAGGATTAGAGCTGATCCCCTGTCCTAGACTGTAGATGTTCACTTCACCCCCAGGGAAGAGGAAACACCTTCCTACCGTCCCCATTGTATCTTTTGGATGAATGTTGCACTTATTTTACTTCCTGTGGAGGTTACAGATTACACTGAGGGGTGTGTGTGCTGGGGCGGGGGTGTCTCTACTGAAGGGGGTCGTCATTTCCAGTATCAACTATACATGGATGAAGCCAAGTTCTCAGGCCAAAAAAAAAAAAAAAAAAAAAGAGAGAGAGAAACCTGGAAGGAGGGCCTTAAGTAGACTCGAGATGAAACTTCTTGTCTGTCTTGGGGCATCCTGCTTATGGATTTAGACTCAAGGGGGACAGCTATTTCAGTATAGGCTCCTGAATGGTGGTTCTACAAAGCACCCCTATATAATGGCAGGCCAGAAGCTGGGTTGAGCCAGAGTCTATGAATCTTGCAAAGCCAAACCATAAGCTCATAAGAGGCAGATAATACAGTTTGTTATTTCTGTTTTGTTTTGCCTATGCCTTTAGTAAAGCTGGGTTTGAATGTTCCAGTTTCATGTCAGCTGAGAGATGGAGGATTCAGGGAAGGGTCTCATGTTCACATCTGGACTATGTCAGTGTGGAGACAGCAGTGGTAACTTGGATGAAATTCTAAAGGGAAGGTGAATCTCAAGATACAAGAATTGGAGACCTAAAGCCCAGCTGCCCTTCTCCACGTGGAAAATTTCCCTTTGATACCAATCTCCAGTGATCTGCATTTGGTTAAGGAACATGACATTCTCCTTACTCAGGGGAAGAAGGTAATAGCTTCTACAGATCTCCTCCCCGTCCCTAGTCTGAGAATAAGAGTATCAAGGACTCAAATCATAAAGTGATCAACAGCCTGGCAGCATGGCAAATAGGGACACATGGCAACTTAGCACACAACTCCCTTTCATAGATGAGGGGAAAAGGAAGGAAAGCAGCAACAATACATGGCATGAATTCCAACCCCTGCCTCCAGAATGACTGTGCTCAAAGATTAGAGAACAAAAAAGCATGACTGGCTGACGATTGCAAACTTCCTTCACTTGTTTGTGCTGGTGCTCTTCTCTCTCCTGGAACATGCTTTTCCCATTCTGCTACTGACAAGGTCTTATTCTCTAAGGCTTAATCCAGTCATTATTTCTTCTAGCAAGCCTTACAAACTCTATGTTGGGCTACATTCCCCCGCCACTTCACTTCCATAGCTTGAAATGTCCTCCTCATATCTGTCCAGAGATGAAATTTTTATCCTTCTAGGTCCGTTTACGTTTCGGGGTTTTTTTGGTTTTTTTTTTTTTTTTTTTTTGAGACAGAGTCTCGCTCTGTCACCCAGGCTAGAGTGCAATGGCGCACGATCTTGGCTCACTGCAACCTCTGCCTCTCGGGTTCACGCCATTCTCCTGCCTCAGCCTCCCGAGTAGCTGGGACTACAGGCACCTGCCACCACGCCAGCTAATTTTTTGTATTTTTAGTAGAGACGGGGTTTCACCATGTTAGCCAGGATGGTCTCAATCTCCTGACCTCATGATCCTCCCGCCTCGGCCTCCCAAAGTGCTGGGATTACAGGCGTGAGCCACCACGCCCAGCCCGCTCAGCTATTTTTTGTATTTTTAGTAGAGATGGGGCTTTGCCATGTTGGCCAGGCTGGTCTTGAACTCCTGACCTCAAGTGATCTGCCTGCCTCGGCCTCCCAAAGTGCTGAGATTACAGGTATGAGCCACTGTGCTCGGCCTATTTAAGTTTAATATCTATAAAACCTCTTAGACTTGTTCACCTAACACTATTCCTCTTCCACTGAATTTTCATAGGAAAAACAGTATTAGCTCAGTAGGAAAAAAACTAAGTTCTGGACTCAAATTCTGGCTCTGCTACTTAACTATGAAACTATGGGCAAGTGACTACCTCAGTCACTTGTGTGCCTCAGTTCTTCACAGCTGCCTGTGGGTCAGTCAGCTCTTCCAAGGGAAGGGGCTCAGTCTCATCTTCCTCCTATATCCTACACAGGATCTGGCCAAAAGCTATAGACATGCAGGAGATGCTCAGCTAACATGCTGAATTTACTTTCCTATCACAGACCTTGCATGTGGTTCATCCTAGTTCAATCTAGCAATAATCCTCCCTCCCTTCAGCATAACTATACCTTGCTCGGCACTGACATAAAAATACTTGTAGCTGGGGTTTCCATTCTCATTGATGATTTCAGGATGCACCTTGCCACTGGGATCTGTTATAGACAAAATGACACAGAGTTTTGCAGTAATTACAACAGACAGGTACTTCAAACACTACCTGGTACATCGGGCCCTCTGGGAAATAAGATCTGCCCATATTTGCAGCCCATTACCTCACCATAATACCTCCTACATTTCTGCTTCCTTTTCTGCTTGATGATTTTGACTTCTATCCCCCATAAAACCTAGCAGAATTTATGCTGAACAAAGATTAGGTGGTCATTAAATATCTCTTATAAAATTATTTGTGGAAAGACATTTATCTGGTTATATTATTCCATTGCCTTAGGTGCACTATAGGTTCAAGGGTGAGAATTCTGGCTTATATCTGTCTCTGTAGTGTCTAATACAGTGCTTGACATATGGCTGATGCGCAAATGGCTATTGAAGTGAATAAATGATCAAACTCTTTTTTTTTTTTTTGAGACAGGGTCATTCAGTTTCCTTCTGTCATTCAGGCTCAAGGGCAGTGGCGTGATTATGGCTCACTGCAGCCTTGACCTCCCAGGCTCAATTGATCCTCCCGCCTCAGCCTCCTAAATAGCTGAGACTACAGGTGCGTGCCACCACACCCGGCTAATTTTTGTACTTTTTGTAGAGACGGGCTTTCACCGTGTTGCCCATGCTGGTCTCAAATTGGACTCAAGCAATTCACCCATCTCAGCCTCCCAAAGTGCTGAGACTACAGGCATGAGCCACTGTGCCCGGCCAAACTTTTGTCATTGCTTACAAAAGCAGTTAGTTAATGGGAAAAGTTTTCCTTCAGACTTGTAGTTCTAGCATTCAGAACTCCCCCACTCTCTCTTGAAACTGGTTTTTATTTGTTTGTGGTCATCCTGGTATAGTTTCACTAGGTGAAGTCAGTGCCTTGATTCATTTCTCTCTCCATCCACATCATGGATTCCCAGGTTAAGATCATGTGCCTTACCCAGAAAAAGGATTCGTGGAATATAACCCCCGTCAGGGCTGAAATCTTCATCTTTGGGTTCCTCTTCATCCTATTAAGATTAAATGTAAACCTTAAGTCAGATAACGTCCTCTCTCTCCTCAAAACCATTCAGTGGCTTCCCCACTTGTCAGGGCAAAACCCCAAGTCCTTGCAGTGGCCTATAAGGCCCTACATGATCTATCACCTAGGCACTTCTCTAACTTAATGTCCTACCCCTTGTTAAGTCCTCTTCAGCTACACTGACCTCTTGCTGTTGCTGTCATTAAACAAGCCAGGGATAATCCTAACACAGGCTTTTGGACTTGCTCTTAACTCTCTGCTGAACACACTTTCCCCATTATTATCCACATGGTTGACTCCCTTTTCTGTTTCAGACCTTTGCTCAAATATCCCTTTATTTTCAAACCATCTATTTAAAACCACAGTCATCCCTTCCACCTTTCTTTTTTAGCCCTAGCATTTACCACCATCTGACATATTCTAAAATACTTATTTTCTGTCTTCCCACACTAGCATGTTATTTCAACGAGGAAATTTTGTCTGTTTTGTTCACTGCTATATTCCTAGTACCTACATCATTGACTTGCACATAGTATTTCTTTAGTGCATGAATCAATAAGACTGGCATTTTAGTCAAAGTTGTGGACTCATAGTCCTCCCAGGAGATTAAAAACCTACACAATCAGTTTTCTTTTTTTTTTTTTTTGAGACGGAGTCTCGCTCTGTCGCCCAGGCTGGAGTGCAGTTGTGCGATCTCGGCCCACTGCAAGCTCCGCCTCCTGGGTTCATGCCATCTTCTGCCTCAGCTGCCTGAGTAGCTGGGACTACAGGTGCCCGCCACCATGCCCAGCTAATTTTTTTATATTTTTAGTAGAGACGGGGTTTCACCATGTTAGCCAGGATGGTCTCAATCTCCTGACCTTGTGATCCACCTGCCTTGGCCTCCCAAAGTGCTGGGATCACAGGCATAAGCCACCACGCCCGGCCTAATCAGTTTTCTTTTTAAGAAATTTCCAAAGTTGGAGAATCCTCTATGAAGACGTTTTTACTGTTTCCTTTGAGTAGGAATCCTAATTCACCACAGAAAGTGGTGAGGAATTCATGTGCAAAGGCAATCAATACTTTCACAATTTATGATGTGGTTCCCATTTCAGGGGTTAAATACTTCGCTATGGTGAGGTGTATCAGCATTCAGGCTATCCCCTAGCTATATAAGCAATCCCTTAGCTGCCTCACTGTTAACTGTTAATGTGTTCACAAGAGTCCCAGACCTATGTTTAAGTAAACATTATCTTTTTTTTTTTTTTTCTCTTTTTTGAGATGGAGTTTCACTCTCTCACCCAGGCTGGAGTGCAGTGGCGCGATCTCAGCTCACTGCAACCTCTGCCTCCTGGGTCAAGCGATTCTCCTGCCTCAGGCTCCCTAGTAGCTGGGACTACAGGCACGCACCACCACACCCAGCTAATTTTTTTGTATTTTTAGTAGAGACAGGGTTTCACCATATTGGCCAGGCTGGTCTTGAACTCCTGACCTCATGATCTACCCACCTCAGCCTCCCAAAGTGCTGAGATTACAGGCATGAGCCACCATGTCTGGCCCAAGTAAACATTATTTTTACAGAAACGTATGGCTAGCGGTATCATCATAGAGCATCTGAGTACCTCACATGTGAAAAGTATGGCCTGAAAGAGAGCACGGCTAGGTGAGAGTACCTATTCTTATCACTTATTAGGCTCTATGACCTTGACCAAATCACATACCTGCTTCAGGCCTAAGATGGTTCTTTCTGTAAAATGAGGATAGTACCAATAGCCTAAAAATCCCTTCCAACTCTAAGATCTGACATTCTATGACTCAGGATTCCAAGACCTGCAGCCTATATGAGGTATGTAAAAGCTATTTTCATAAGGAAACAAGCAGGTTGCACATATAAGCCCAACACAGATTAGGTGCTCAGTTGAATCACATTTTGCAGAAAGTTGTGGTCTGCATGTATGACTATACCTTTAGTCTAGCTTTACAAAGACATAAAACATGTCATAATCATAAACTAAGGATAAAAGGACCTTAAAATCTAGTCATCTTAAGGCTGGGCATGCTGGCTCACGCCTGTAATCCCAGCATTTTGGGAGGCCGAGGCAGGCAGATCACTTAAGGTCAGGGGTTTGAGACTAGCCTGGCCAACATTGTGAGACCCTCATATCTACTAAAAATACAAAAATTGGCCAAACGCGGTGGCTCACATCTGTAATCCTAGCACTTTGGGAGGCTAAGGTGGGTAGATCACCAGAGGTCAGGAGTTTGAGACCAACCTGGCCAACATGGCAAAACCCCATCTCTATTAAAAATATAAAAATTAGCCTGGTGTGGTGGTGCATGCCTGTAGTCCCAACCACTCGGGAGGCGGAGGCAGGAGAATTGATTTAACCCGGGAGGAGGAGGTTGCAGCGAGCCAGGATCGCACCACTGCACTCCAGCCTGGGCAACAGAGCCAGACTCCATATAAAAAAAAAAAAAATTTAGTCATCTTATTCAATCTCTCCTCTCCTAGTTCCTCCCAGAAATAGATGTTAGATGGCTTTCTAACATATCTGATGCAAGCCTTAGTATTAGCGGTCAAGAGAAAAACACATACATAAATTTGACTTCATACCACTAATGAAGCTGTAATGAATATGCACGAATGATACTAACTTTAAAAGTCTTAAAATCATAGCAGAAAGGAGAAACTCTCAAAGTCTTACCTCAAGATTTACCATAACAAAATTATGGGAGAGTTCTGAAATTTCCGTAGATTCTGCAAATTTGGGCTTTAGAGCTGGGGGGAAAAAGATTTTGGAATAGAAGAAAAAACATCATTGTCACAACTAAACCTTAACGAACATAAGCATCACTATTTCTCTTTGGTAGTTTAGGCATTTGTTTAGTTGATTCATATAACAAACTTTTTTTACACTCTAAAAAACAAGAATTAGGCTACCTGGATTCTGAACCTGCACAGCTATGTGACCTTGAGTGACTTACTTCATTTCTCTGAAGCTGTTACCTCATTTATAAAATAAGGATAATGGCATACGAATAGGGGGGAAAAGCATTATTTGCTTTTTATAGTTACATTTCAAAAACCATTGACATGAAAGACAATAGAGTGACAGTCTGCCACACGTGTATATGTGTGTGTATACATATATGTATGTGTGTATATATGTTATATATACATATATACATATATACGTATATATTATATGTTATATATGTTATGTATATATGTGTATATATGTTATATACACACATACATTCCTATTATTATTATTATTTTTGAGACAGAGTCTCACTCTGTCACCCAGGCTGGAGTACAATGGTACGATCTCAGCTCACTGCAACCTCCGCCTCTCGGGCTCAAGCGATTCTCAGCCTCCCGAGTAGCTAGGATTACAGGCGCGTGCCACCAAATCCAGCTACTTTTTTTGTATTTTTAGTAGAGGCGGGGTTTCACTATGTTGGGCAGGCTGGTCAACTCCTGGCCTCAAGTGATCTGCCCGGCCCAGCCTCCCAGAGTGCTGGGATTACAGGCATGAGCCACTGCGCCTGGTCTTTTATACTATTTTTTACACTCCTTTTCCATCTAGGATTTTAAGTGCAGCATACTAAATAAAAGAAAAAGCCTGTCTGGGGAAGTGGCAAGGTGGTATAGCAGAAAGAACACATGCCACAGAGTCAGATAACTTGGGTTCTAATTTGGGTCCTACTTCCTTCTCATGTCTCTGTCCGTACATTTCAGCTTCCTCTAACATGTATTGTTCATTTGACATTTTAGCACTTAATCCCATACGTGACATAACTGTATCTTAATCACCTTAACTTCCCTAAAATCCCCTCCAAATATAATTGCAAATTTCATGAAGGCAGGAAATCTATGTCATATGTTTCTTTAGTATTCCTTAAACAGTCAGTAGTGCTGGGCCAGAGTCAGTGCCAATATTTGTTAAATGTTAATATTTAACAACACATCTGAGTTTTGAATTTAGATTGAGCATTTGCACTTACCTTTGCAAGCTCCACACCAGGATTTATGAATAATCACCATCAGGGGCAGTCCACTTAAAAGCAAAACAAAGAAATTATAATCTAGTAATTCTACTTCTTGAAATTTAATGATAAAGATTAATATGTGAAGACATTTCTGTAGTATTATTTCAATTGGGAAAATCTTTAGACAAATGTTCAATAATAATAGATAATTGCTGTAACAAAATTATTGTTAAGTTCTAACACTTCTGTAAATTCTGCAAACTTGGGCTTTAAAGTTAGGGAGGGCTGGGCACAGTGGCTCATGTCTGTAATCCCAGCACTTTGGGAGGCTGAAGTGGGCAGATGACTTGAGGCCACGGATTCAAGACCAGCCTGGCCAACATAACAAAACCCTGTCTCCACTAAAAATACAAAAATTAGCTGGGCGTGGTGGCACGTGCCTGTAGTCCCAGCTACTGGGGTGGCTGAAATATGAGAATTGCTTAAGCCTGGGAGGCAGAGGTTGCAGTGAGCTGAGACCGCACCACTACACTCCAGCCTGGCCGACAGAACAGACTCTGTCTCAAAGCAAACAAAATGTTACAGTATTTCTAAATGATTATTGTTATATAATCATTGAAAATAATTTTTCATTGGTAGCTTATATAAAAAACTAGGATACAAATGTATCTATAGTCTGGTTTTAATTATAAAATATGTACAGAGAAAAGAGCCTAAAAGAAAATGTACCAAAACATAATAATAGCAGTTTTCTGTGGATGATGGGACTGTGGATGTTTTCCTTACACTACATCTGTATTTCATGATTTTTCTACAATATAATTTTCATAATCAGGGAGGAAACTGTTCACAATGAGCAATGCAATCCACCCGAACCAGACTGGCTAGAGGAAGCTCTTAAGCTCTCAAGGCTCAAATGACAGTAGGAAGACCCCATGTAAGTAGGTAGCCATTAGCTTTCTCCATCACACAACCCCATGTCACCATAACAACATACACTGTATAATAGCTACCATGCACTTAACATATTGATCTGTACCTATTATTTACCCATCTCCCTCCACTGGACTTGGAGATTCCTAAGACAAGGAACTCTTAGCTGTCTCTATATCCTTTACATCTGACACATATATTATTGATAGCAAACACTTATATACCATTTGCCATGTGCCAGGCACTACTGTAAATATACATAAATTAACTCATTTAATAAGTGTCAAATGAATCATTCAGTCACCTCACCTTAGGCCTACCTCACATCTGGATGGACTTCTGCCTGCAATACTTGTAAAAGCTTGTAAACCAAATGAGCAGGGCAAGTTTAGGTGGGTAGTAGGATATAGGTAACCATAATAGCCAAAATGTGCTGAACGTTTATTATATGACATTGTGCTGTATATGCATTATCTCATTTAAATCCTCAAAATAACCCTAGGGTAGATACTATTAATGGTCTCACAATAGAAATGAGAAAATTGAGATGCTCAATAGAGTAAATATTTGGCCCCATAAAATCTAGGTTCTAGGCCGGGCACAGTGGCTCACACCTGTAATCTCAGCACTTTGGGAGGCCGAGGCTGGAGGATCACTTGAGCTCACAAGTCCAAGACCAGCCAGGGCAACATGGTGAAAACCTGTCTCTACAAAAAAATACAAAACTTAGCCGGTCGTGGGGTGCATGCCTGTAGTCCCAGCTACTCACAGCACTTCACTCCAGCCTGGGAGACAGCCAGACCTTGTCTCAAAAATAAATAAATAAAAAAAAATAAAAACCCAAAACAAAAACCTAGGTTCTGCCACTTACTAGCTAACTCAGAAGTCCGACTCCAAAACCAATGTTCTTTCTGACGGTTACAGTCTACTTCAATTTAGAATGGTAATCCAGAATCCATGGTTAGACCCAATTCAATCAATAACCAACTTAATGAAGGTTGGAAAAAGCCTTTTGAGTTTGCCTCATCCAGACTTCCATTTCACACATGAATCCTGTTTATCAGAAACAAAAGGTAGTATAGATTACCTGATGAGCAAGGAATATACCATCAACCAAGGCAGCCCATCTACCCTCTCTTTTAACAGCTCCATAGTTTCAGAGCATGCATGTTTTCGAATGTCTTGCTTTCTCTTTTCTCCCTGGCAAACATCTGTTTATCCTTCTAGAGCAGGGGTTGGCAAACTAGGGTCTGCAGGCCAAATCCAGCCCACCGTCTGCTTCCGTAGGGCCCATGATATGCAAATATTTTGTTGTATATTTTTACATTTTTCAATGTTTGCAAAGCAAATCTAAAGACTCCTTTGTGATATGTTAAAATTAATTGTAATTCACATTTCAGTGTAGTTTTATTAAAATACATTCATGCTTATTTGTTTACTTACCATCTATAAGTAGCAACAGCATTTGATGGTCCACAAAGCCTAAAACATTTACCATTTGGCCCTTTACTGACTTTATTCTACAGTGATGGTTCAAATGTTAACTCCTCTTAAAACCTTTCCAAAACCACCTCCCCCAACAGCTAGTTAGTCCTCTTCACCAGGTTTCCAAAGCATTTTGTCTTTTGTCATCATCCTCTGACCACCAGCCCATTTCATCCTATCTTTTTTTTTTTTTTTTTGAGATGGAGTCTCCTTCTGTCACCTAGGCTGGAGTGCAGTGGCGCGATCTCGGCTCACTGCAACCTCCGCCTCCCGGGTTCAAGCGATTCTCCTGCCTCAGCCTCCTGAGTAGCTGGGATTACAGGCACGTGCCACCACGCCCGGCTAATTTTTGTATTTTTAGTAGAGATGGGGTTTCACCATGTTGGTCAGGCTGGTCTTGAACACCTGACCTTGTGATCCACCCGCCTTGGGCTCCTGAAGTGCTGGGGTTACAGGCATGAGCCACCGCACCCAGCCTAATTCTATCTTTTACTTGTATTTCTCACCACATATCTCTTTTTGTTTGTTTTTCAAGACCCAGTTTCACTGCTGCCCAGGCTGGAGTGCAGTGGTGCGATCTCAGCTCACTGCAACCTCCACCTCCCAGGTTCAAGCGATTCTCGTGCCTCAGCCTCCAGAGTAGCTGGGATTACAGGCACACCATCACGCCCAACTAATTTTTGTACTGTTAATAGAGACGAGGTTTTGCCACGTTGGCCAGGCTGGTCTCGAACTCCTGACCTCGATTTTGGACTCCCAAAGTGCTGGGATTACAAGTATGAGCCACCACACCCGGCTTCTCACCACATATCTCAAGAGCAAAAACACTGTATCTAATTGGTCTTTGAAAATCACAGCCACTGTTAAAGTAGGTACCTACCATTTGTTCAATGAAATCAATGAAGAATGAAAGACAAGCTTACAATGATATTTGCCTTGAAATGCAGAATGAAGCAAAACAGTTACGGAAATTGTCATAATATAATTACTGTAGAGTAGCTCAAAACATCTACTCTCTCAGAACTATCAAAATACTACTTCACTTAAAGGCAGAACAATGACAAGTATACCTAAAATGTTACATGAAGTTACACAGGGAACATTAAGTGAAAGAGATTCCAGTAGACTATTTTAAAAGATTTTATTAGAGGAAATAATCTAGTAGATAACTTTCTTACTTCCACAAAAACAAAGTTTCTCAAGGATACAAACCAATGGATTTATCTGTGAACTCGGTCCCAGAATAGAAACTAGCAAAAAGTCAGTACAGTACTCAAAAAATACTTTTGTGGTATGAAAAAAGGGCAGGTGCAGATGTAGAACTGTACCATCTTCAGTTTCTGTTCACAATTGTTTTAAAACAATTCTCATCTATCCAGTCTGCTCTCCCACGCCTCAGATGAGGGAAGCCAATGGTCAATGCTCTGTGATAGCCCAAGTAGGATCCAATCTAGGTAATCCCTGTCCACCTTAGCTCTGTCCTCTGAGGGATTTGCCAGGTTGCACCACAATAGTTCTCCATTCTCTTTAGTCTGAACTTATGCTGTAAACCCAAGGCCTGGCACAGGGGTATGCAGGAAAGTTTGAGTGAATCAGTCACAACAGCTCTAGTACAGTACTGCATCGATATGCTCTGGAGACCTGCAGCCTATTTTTCCCAGAGAAATAAAGTGGAGTGGAGATCAGAAGCCATGGCTTCCCCCCTACCTCCTCTGGTCAGTGCAGGCTCTGGCTCAAATACTGAAGAAACATGTTGGCCAGTTGCGGCAAGTTCTCATTGTTGGGATGCATTTTAGTGTACGAAATAAACTGGCGACGAAGGCGACTCAGTTCTGCCATGGTCAAGGGCCGGGTAAACCGCAAGTGCTCTGTGGTACCAGGAAGCGTGAGCAAGTCCCCGGGGACAGCGCTCTTCTGCGCTTCCATCAATCCGGCCAGTACTTGACTCGTGACCTGGTCCAACTGGTGCAGAAAGCTGCCGGAGGCGAGGGGCTGGGACTGCGTAGACTGATGGGGTGGTGGGGCCCGGTTCTCAAACAGGGCAGAGCGGATCCCCGCCAGGGGCAACGGCTCCTCTAGGCCCACCAAAGTGAATAAAGGCCGGTCCCAGCGATTCCGAGAATCGGGAGCCTCAAAGCGCAGCGTTAGGGCCTCCAGGAGTTCGGGAGAGTAAAAGGCACCGGACCCATGCTTTGCAGATTTCTCTGAATCCGGAGTCACAAGAGCTGGAGACTCCGCAGCCCCGGATTCTTCTCGCTCCAGTTCCTTGGGTACGTCGGCCTGGGCACTTCCATTTACTACAGAGTCCGCAGTATGCAGTTCCCTGAGGACGCTGCTGCCCGCCGCCTGGGCTCTCCCGTCCTCCTCAGCGCGTGGCCGCCAACTCACACTGACGTTCCGGCCAGGGTTCTCGTTCGCGCCCGCCACCTGAGGTCCCGCGATCGGGCCGCCGGGCCGTACGCAGTAGACCAGGCAGAGCGGGGTGCGCGCCGCCCGTGCCAGGCAGTAGAGCTCGTAACGGAAACCTTTGATGTAGTTAAGCGAGTCCAGGATGACCACGTCGTGGCGACTCAGGCGCCGTTCCACGGAGGCTCGCAGAGCTCCACGCAATGCCTTCTCACGGGCAGAATCGCCGTACACCGCTGGGTCCTCTGCGCCCAGGACAGCTGCGTCGTCCACCACGTACACCGCGCGGCCCTCGGCAGCCAGCGCCACGCGCAACTCTTCAGCACGCCGGCTCTTGCCGCTGTACGGCAGCCCGCAAAACACCACGAGCGGCATCCTCTCAGGGAGCGACCATTGGCAACCGCGCTGCGCCAACTTCCGGGTTGTACGCGTCTCCGACGTAAGCCGGAAGTGCAAACTGCTCTTCCTGTCTCCCTTGACTTTTACAGACCCTCTTGTTTCTATGGAAACAGGAGTTCTACGCCAGCTAGGCCCAGGTTCAGCTTTCTCAGAAAGGAGATACAGAGACTATAATGGCATCAGTTATTTATGCCAAATGTTATAGGCCTCAGGAGAATGTGATCTTCCTGCAGCGAAAGACTGCCCGTCCATTTTATTAATAAGGCCTAAGGGGCATTAAATATTGTAAGCAATCAGCACTATATTTAGCATATAGAAGGCAATTAATAAATGCTGGTTCTCCTTCATTCCTCCTCTTAAACCTACTGGCTCTCAGTAAATGTTTATTCAATTACCATTTCAATCATTCAACATCTCCAAGGTTGGGAATTCAGAGATGAACATAAAACGCTTTCCCCACAAAAGATAAAAGGTCTGAATGGGAAGGATCAGGCGCCTACAATCAGAGTAATAAATACTATAATGGATAGATGCAGGTGAGGTTATAAAAGAACAGAAGGGAAAAACAAACTACCCAGAGAAATCACTGAAGACTTTATGTAGAAATAGTCATTTGACTTAGAACTTGAAAGACAAATAGGAATTTTTCTCCTTAGTAGGGTTGCCAGATAAAATACAGGATGCCCAGTTACATTTGAATTTCAGATAAACACCAAAAACATTTTTAAGCTTAAGTGTGTCCCAAATATTGCATAGACATATTTAAAATTATTTGGTGCTTATCTAAACTTCAAATTTAACTGGGCATCTTTAATTTATTATTATTATTTATTTTTTCTTTTTTAGAGATGAGGTTGTATGTTGCTAAGGCTGGTCTCAAACTCCTGGGCTCAAGTAATTGTGCCACCTCTGCCTCCCAAAGTACTGGGAATACAGGTGTGTGAGCCAAGGTGCCTGGCCTGCATCCTTTATTTTATTTTATTATTATTATTTTTTGAGATGGAGCCTCGCTCTGTCACCCAGCCTGGACCACAGTGGTATGATCTCAGCTCCCTGCAACCTCCACCTCCTGAGTTCAAGCGATTCTCCTGTCTCAGCCTCCCAAGTAGCTGGGACTATGGGTGTGCGCCACCATATCTGGCTAATTTTTGTATTTTTAGTAGAGACGGGGTTTCACTATGTTGGCCAGGCTGGTCTCAAACTCCTGACCCCAGGTGATCCACTGGCCTTGGCTTCCCAAAGTGCTGGGGTTAAAGGCATGAGCCACTGTGCCTGGCCATCCGTTATTTTTATTTGCTCAATCTGGCAACTCTATTATTGTAGGTTTGAGACCCAGAGCCATGAAACTGTTGGATCTCTTGTATAAACAGCAAGCACTATAGGATGGTAGGTGCAGAAATGTGAGTGTGCCTGTGCATGTGTGTATATTGTAGATGCACATATACTGGGGTCTTTGTATCTCTCTTGTACAGTATAGTAAAAAACATTCAAGTCTTGGCTCCTCCACTTACTAGTGTTGTAACTACTGGCAAATTATGTAACTTTTCTGTACTTCAATTTCCCCTTCTATAAAATAACAACTGCTATTTCACAGGTTTACCAATCTGTAGGTTGTTGTGAGGGTTAAATAAATGTAAACACAGGCCCGGCATGGTGGCTCGCGCCTGTAATCCCAGCACTTTGGGAGGCAGAGGGTAGATCACCTGAGGTCAGGAGCTCGAGACCAGTCTGGCCAACATGGTGAAACCCTGTCTCTACTAAAAATACTTTTTAAAAAATTAGTCGGGTGGGGTAGCGTGTGCCTGTAATCCCATTACTGAGGAGGCTGAGGCAGGAGAATTGCTTGAACCCGGGATGCGGAGGTTGCAGTGAGCCTAGATCGCACCACTGCACTCCAGCCTGGGCAATAAGAGCGAAACTCTGTCTCAAACAAAAAAAAAGTAAACACAGACCAGTGCTTAGCTTTCCCTCCCCTGCCCTGCCTTTTCCTCCTCCTTATGCACTGAATTGTCTGTGCATAAACTAAACCTACTTGAGACTTTACAGACTATTCAACTTGATTCTAGCAGGCAGTATGGTATACAGGTTTAAAGAGCAGGCTCTGAAGCCAGAGTGCTTGGGTCTGCCACTTGCTAGCTGTGTGCTCTTGGGCAAGTTATTTTAGTAAACTTAGAAAAAACGGTGCCTTACTTTTTTCATCTCTAAAATTAAGATAACAATAATACCAATCTCAAAAAGTTGTTGTGAGAGTTAAATGAGTTGATTTGCATAATTTAATGCCTAATGCACAGTAGCACTTAGTACAGCTGACCCTTGAACAACCCCAGGATGAGGGGCACTGACCCCTGACACCATCAAAAATCAGCATATACCTTTTGACTCCCTAAAACTTAACTATTAATAGCCTACTGTTGACTGGAAGCCTTACTAATAATATATTCAGTTAACACATATTTTGAATGTAATATTATATATTGTATTCTTACAATAAAGTAAACTAGAGAAAAGAAAATGTTATTAAGAAAATCTTTCCAGGAAGCAGGGGGGCAAAAAAGAAGAAAAAGAAAATCATAAAGAAGCAAAAATATATTTAGTATTCATTAAGTGGAAATGGATACTCATAAAGGTCTTCATCCTTGTCTTCACACTGAGTAGGCTGAGGAGGAGGAGGAAGAGGAAGAGGAGAGGTTGGTCTTGCTGTCTCAGGATGGCAGAGGCAGAAGAGGGTGGAAGGGGAGGTAGAACAGGCAGGCACACTTGGTGTAACTTTATGGAAATATAATTTCTGTCTGATTTTGTTGCTTTTTCATTTCTCTAAAAATGTTTCTATACAATACCAATCTTTTTTCTTTGCTTTAGTTTCAGGGCACATATCTTAGAAGGGTCCATGTTGTAAAATAAGTCAAAAGCAGCTCTAAATAATTAGAACCTTCTGCCAGATCTGTTTTCTGGCACTGCCTCTTCTACGTGTTTTTCCTCATCATCTGGCACTCATCTCCATCAAGTTATCTTCTGTTCATTCCTCTGGTTTGGTGTCTATTAGCTCTTGAATTTATCCAAGATCATATCTTAAAACCCTTTACCCCTCACCTTTTTTTGCCATATCCACAATCTCTTTCATGATTTTGATTATCTGTCATAAACCCTGTGAAGTCTTGTGTACATCTGGACACAGTTTTATCCAGCAGGAATTTATTGTTTCAGGCTTGATGGTCTTCACAGCTATTTCTATAACGACAATGGCATCTTCAACGATATAATCCTCCTAAACTTTCATGATGTTCTCTTTATTGCAGTTCTCTTCCATAGCTTTGACAATCTGTTTTCTAGAGAGTACTGTGTGTAATGAACCTTAAAGGTCCTTATCACCCCCTGATGTAGTAGCTGATTTAAATATTGTGTTTGGAGGCAAATAGACCACCTTTTTTTTTTTTTTTTTTTTTTGAGACAGAATTTCACTCTTGTTGCCTAGGCTGGAATGCAATGGCACGATCTCAGCTCACTGCAACCTCCACCTCCCAGGTTCAAGCAATTCTCCTGCCTCAGCCTCCTGATTAGCTGGGATTACAGGCATGTGCCACCACGCCCGGCGAATTTTGTATTTTTAGTAGAGACTGGGTTTCTCCGTGTTGGTCAGGCTGGTCTGGAACTCCCAACTTCAGGTGATCCCCCGACCTCGGCCTCCCAAGTGCTGGGATTACAGGCATGAGCCACTGGGCCCAGCCGCAAATAGACTTTTTAATTTGCCTTTGGTGCTGAACTCATGGGGCTCTGGGTGGCCAGAGTATTGTCCAACATCAAAAGAACTTTAAAAGGTAGTCTCTTACTGGCAAGGTACTTCCTGACTTCAGGGACAAAGCATTGATGGAACCAATCCAGAAAAAGGGTTCTTGTTGTCTAAGCCTTCTTATTGCACAACCTAAACACTGGCAGCTGGTGTTTATCTTTGCTCTTCGAGGCTGGAGGTTAACAGCTTTATAGACAAGGGCAGTTCTGATGACAAACTTGACTCAAACTCCTGGGCTCTGGTAATCGTCCCACCTCTGCCTCCCAAAGTGCTGGGTTTTTTTGCACAAAAGAGTAGAGTTAGCCTGTCTCTTCTTGCCTTCAATGTTGGTACTTGCTTCTCTTCCTATTTTTTTTTTTCCTTTTTAAAAACTGAAATAGGGTCTTATTCTGTTGCCCAGGCTACAGTTCAGTGGTGCACTCATGGCTAACTGCAGCCTCAATCTTCCAGGCTCAAGCAATCCTCCCACCTCAGACTCCTGAGTAGCAGGAACAACAGGTGTGTGCCACCACACCCAGCTAATTTTTGTACTTTTTGTAGAGACAGAGTTTCCCATGTTGCCCAGGTTGGTCTTCCTTACTATTAATGTCCTTTGTGGCTTTTTTTTTCCAGAGTAGGGTACCTTAATCTGCATTAAACACCTGTTCAGGCAGATATCCTTTCTCTTCAATGATTTTCTTAACGGTGTCTGAGAATTCATCTGCTGCCTCTTGGTCAGCATAAGCTGCTTCTCCTGTATCTTGTTTTTTTTTTTTTTGAGACAGGGTCTCACTCTGTCACCCAGGCTGGAGTGCAGTGGGGGGATCTCGGCTCATGCAACCTCCGCCTCCCAGGCTCAAGCGATTCTCCTGCCTCAGCCTCCCAAGTAGCTGGGATTATAGGCATGGACCACTACCACCTAGCTAGTTTTTGTATTTTTTGTAGAGACGGGGTTTCACCATGTTGGCCAGGCTGGTCATAAACTCTTGACCTCAAATGATCCACCCGCCTTGGACTGCCAAAGTGCTGGGATTACGGGCAACACTGCGCCCAGCCTGTCTTGACATTTTTTAAGCCAAACCTCTTTCTAAAATCAGCAAACCATCATTTGTTGTCATTAAATACTCCAGCTTTAGATCCTTCACCTTCTTTTTGCTTTAAGTTGCCATATAATGACTTTGCTTTTTCTCAAATCATATTAGAGTCAATAGGTATGCCTTTTTATAGTACCCATGTAAAAGCTACATATTATGCACATAAAAAGGCATTTGGCAAAAAGTGCAAGGTTTTTGCACCTGTTGGCATAGCTACAGTGACAACTTCATGAATTTTCTTTTTTTTTTCTTTTTCTGTTTTTTTTTTTTTTTTACGCAATTGGTCCTTACGCTGGATTTATCTTTAAAAAAATTTTTTTTTGTAGAGACAGGGTCTTACTTTGTTGCCCAGGCTGGTCTCAATCTACTGGGCTCAATCAGTCCTCCTGCCTCAGACTCTCAAAATGGATTCATCTGGCCAGGCCAGAGCAAGACACCGTCTCAAAAAAAAAAAAAAAAAAAAGGGTTCATTTATCTTGAAACGACAAGCAACTACCTGTGTAGACCTCAGTCTACAGTACATATCAAGCAATTCAATTTTTTCTTGTAATGTCATGAGCATTCTCTGCTTCTTGGGAACACTTCCAGCATCACCAATGGCACCTTGTATGGGTTTCATGGTGTTATTCTAGGTTTATGATATTGTACTAAATACCAGGAAAAATATGCAAGAGTTGTAAGAGATTAATTTTTTTTTTTTTGAGACCAAGTCTCGCTCTGTCTCCCAGGCTGGAGTGCAATGGCGTGATCTTGGCTTACTGCAACTCCGTCTCCCAGGTTCAAGCGATTCTCCTGCCTCAGCCTCCCAAGTAGCTGGGATTACAGGCATGCGCCCACCATGCCCAGCTAAGTTTTTTGTATTTTTAGTAGAGACAGGGTTTCACCATGTTGGCTAGGCTGGTCTCGAACTCCTGACCTCAAGTGATCCACCCACCTCGGCCTCCTAAAGTGCTGGGATTACAGGTGTGAGCCACCGCGCCCAGCTGAGAAACTACGTTATACTGCGATACGCAATACACTGGAGAGACGTACTGCTCACTGAAGATGATTAATGTTGCACGGCATTTTAAGTGGATACTCACAATACTTGAGTTCACCTCCATAGCAACAGGAGGTGGCCACAAAATTATTAGTAATGTTATATACTACAGTTAATTTTTATGCAGTTATGATTTAATATGGCATCTTTACATTTGTTTACATTTCTCCCTTCTGCAAATGGCAGCATGTGTGGTCTATAGGTGTTTGTGTGCAGAAGTTTTTTATTTTTTTATTTTTATTTTTATTTTTTATTTTTGTTTTTTAAGACAGAGTCTCGCTTTGTCTCCCAGGCTGGAGTACAGTGGTGCAATCTCAGCGCACTGCAACCTCCACCTCCCGGGTTCAAGTGATTCTCTTGCTTCAGCCTCCCCTAGTAGCTGAGACTACAGGTGCACACCACCATGCCCAGGTAATTTTTGTATTTTTAGTAGAGACGGGGTTTTACCATGTTGGCCAGGGTGGTCTTGAACTCCCGACCTCAGGTAATCTGCCCGCCTCAGCCTCCCAAAGTGCTGAGATTACAAGCGTGAGCCACCATGCCTGGCCAGAAGCTTTTTAGACAGGGTCTCACTCTGTTTCCAGGCTGCAGTACAGTGGCATGGTCTTAGCTCACTGCAGCCTCAAACTCCCAGGCTCAATTGATCCTCCCACCTCAGCCCCCTCAAGTAACTGGTATTTTTTGTAGAGAAGGGGTTTCACCATGTTGCCCAGATTGGTCTCAACCTCCTGGGCTCAAGTGATCTGCCCGCCTCAACCTACCAAAGTGCTGGGATTACAGGCATGAGCCACCGCACCCAGCCAGTGTGCAGAAGTTTTGATAAATTTTAACTTGTAGATTTCTGTATGTTTTATGGTAGTAAATGATAATATAGACTAATACCTACATATATTTTTACACTTGTAACATACCAATTTTTTAAGTTTTTTGATATTTCTAGGCTATGCTGTTCATCTGCAAGTTTTTTGAAACTGCTTGAAATCTCCAAAACAGTTTCCAATGCATTTATTACTGAAAAAAATCCACATATAAGTGGACCTGTGCAGTTCAAACCCATGTTGTTTGGCCGGGCGTGGTGGCTCACATCTGTAATCCCAGCACTTTGGGAGGCCGAGGCAGGTGGATCGCCTGAGGTTGGGAGCTCAAGACCAGCCTGGCCAACATGGTGAAACCCCGTCTCTACTAAAAACTACAAAAATTAGCCGGCAATGGTGGCACATGCCTGTAATCTCAGCTACGTGGGAGGCTGAGGCTTGACAAGAATTGCTTGAACCTGGGAGGTGGAGGTTGCAATGAATGAAGATCGCACCACTGCACTCCCGCCTGGGTGACAAAGCAAGACTCTGTCTCAAAAAAGAAAAAAAAAGGCCGGGCGCGGTGGCTCACGCCTGTAATCCCAGCACTTTGGGAGGCCGAGGCGGGTGGATCATGAGATCAGGAGATTGAGACCATCCTGGCTAACACGGTGAAACCCCGTCTCTACTAAAAATACAAAAAAATTAGCCAGGCGTGGTGGCGGGTGCCTGTAGTCCCAGCTACTCGGGAGGCTGAGGCAGGAGAATGGCGTGAGCCCAGGAGGTGGAGCTTGCAGTGAGCCGAGATCGTGCCACTGCACTCCAGCCTGGGCGAGAGAGTGAGACTCCATCTCAAAAAGAAAAAAAAAAAAAGAAAAAAAACCCATGTTGTTCAAGGCTCAACTATAAATGTTAGCCATTATTATTGCTGTTGTTGTAATTAGGCAACTATTCAGTTCTTGCTCTGCCTTGGTATAGCCCTTCACCTGAAATTAACGTTAAGTTGATAGCTGAAAAGTGTTTTACCACCATAAATGACCTAAAACCATGTCTTGTACCTGGCAGCTGCTTCTTTCTTCCCATCTTCCAGTGTCCTCCAATGAATATGATCTCCAAAACCTGGAAGGAAAGAACTTTATAAGCATTCACATAATGAACAAAGGGCACAGTCCCAAGAAGGAAGTGTGCATGTTCACAAGATACCCACTAAGAAGGTTTTCTTCTGTCAAGAGCTTGGTGTTCAAGTCCCAGCTCCACCACCTTCTAGGTGTATGGGACCATACCTCAAGCCTCAGTTTTCATACCTGCAAAATGGAGACACCACCACCTAATTCACAGTTTCAAAGGAGGCTAAATTTAAAAATGACGTTAAATGCTTTGTAAACTATCACGGAATATGCTAATAATACTGTAAGAATGAACGAGAATTTCCCACAGAGTAAACATAAAGCAGGTCATAACAAATCATAACCAATTGAAGGTGATTCAGCAATACAGCTTTAGATTCAGAAAGACCTAGGTCCATGACTCCACTTCCTATTACGTGTGTGAATTCTTGTGAGTGAAGTAAGCTCTCCAAGTCCCAATTTCTTTCTTATTTTCCTCCTTCATCTGTAAAAGCAAGACAATAAGACCTACCTCCAAGTGTTAGTATAAGGATTAAATGAAGTAAGTATTTAAAGCTATTGTTATTATTATTCCCACAATTCACCCAGAGTAATCTTCCTATTTTATTTTTTGAAACTCTTGAACATGTTTTGTAGAATAGCACAGAATGGTCTTTCTAAATCATGTTACTCCAGGAAAAAAACAAAAAACAAAAACAAAAAAACTTTCAAAGGCTTTCCAATGCCCTAAAGATAAAGGTCCAACTCTTGCAGTAGGGTTTACAAAGCCTTTCAGAATATGGCACCTGCCCACCTCTCCAGCCTCACTTTCCACATTTTTCCTAAAATCTTATATATACACCCTATACTATACTTTCACTTTTTTTTTTTTTTTTGAGATAGAGTCTCTCTGTCACCCAGGCTAGAATAAAGTGGTATGATCTTGGCTCACTGCAACCTCCACCTCCCAGGTTCAAGCGATTCTTTTGCCTCAGCCTCCTGAGTAGCTGGAATTACAAGCGCCTGCCACCACGACTGGCTAATTTTTTTTTTTGGAGATGGAGTTTTGCTCTTGTTGCCCAGGCTGGAGTGCAATGGCATGATCTCGGCTCACCGCAACCTCCACCTCCTGGGTTCAAGCGATTCTCCTGCCTCAGTCTCCCAAGTAGCTGGGATTACAGGCATGTGCCACCAAGCCTGGCTAATTCTGTATTTTTTGTAAAGACAGGGTTTCTCCATATTGGTCAGGCTGGTCTTGAACTCCCGACCTCAGGTGATCTGCCCGCCTCAGCCTCCCAAACTGCTGGGATTACAGGCATGAGCCACTGTGCCCGGACTGTAATTTTTGTATTTTTAGTAGAGAGAGGGTTTCGCCATGTTGGCCAGCCTGGTCTCGAACTCCTGAGCTCAGGTGATCTGCCAGCCTCCTCAGCCTTCCAAAGTGCTGGGATTACAGGCATGAGCCACCGCACCCGGCCCTTTCACTTCTTTAAATGAGAGTAGCACGCACTCTCTCCCCTCCAGGCTTTCACAATCACTACTACCTGTGCAATTCCTTCCGTCCCTCACCTCCAACTCATTCTTCAGGTATAAGCCTAGAGGGCATTTCTTCTGGTATATCTTCCCTGACTCCCAAAGCACCCTATTCTTACCCCATCACAGCACTCCCCAGGCTGACTTGTAAATGTTTATGTGTCCATCTCTGGACCATATCTTTCTTATTCCTCTCTGTTTCCTTAGCATTTAGCAGTACACATGGCCACAGTAAGTGCTCCATAAAATATTTGTTGAGCAAATGAATCTTATTTAGATCATATCACAAAAAGAATTTTATATCCAAAAATTATTAGTGATCATAATGCTAGCTGCTGTTTACTGACCACCTTATATGTGCCTGACATACCACATGTGTTATCTCATTTAAATTTGGCCTTATTAATAACCCAGTTTTACTTAATCTCTGTATGCTTGTTTTCTCATCTTTAAAAGAGGCATAAAATAATTATATCTCATAAGGTTACTGAATATTAAATAAGAAATATATGCAAAAAACTTAGCATAGTGCTTAGCATATTATAAATGATCAGTAAGTAGTAGCTTTTGTTATTCTATACGATTGAGACTTCTGAGGCTCAGAGAAGTTACATCACCTGTACTGGTCACATAACTGCTAAATGGCCAAGCTGAGATTTAAATTGCAATCGTGTGCCATTCTGGTTTACTACACTCATCTTTCAGATTTTTCTTTCTCAGAAATAAATTCAAATCTAATTTTCATCAGTGCTACCACAGGGAAACAAAAGGTCATCCAGATGAGCACATGCAGGCAGTATCGAAACTAACCATCCTCACTTTTCATTCCCAACAGCATGGGATGCTGTCACTTGCCTAAGGCTCAAGATTTGACTCTGAAGAGTGAGTGATTGAGAATGAAATTGAGAGGATGCCCAGGAGAACTGCAAGGTGTCTAACATGATCACCATCACTCTATTGGTCAATATCTAAACTCAGGCAACTGAATCCTGCTTTGGCAAGATGCCCAACCAGACAGTCTGAAGGGATATACACCTACAAAACAATGAAATCCTAGATAAAATGGACTTTCAGAATGTGCTCACTAGACTCAGTAATGACAGAACCCTCCATAAACACAAAGCAAGCTAAAACCTATGAGCAACAAGCAAGTGAGGCTGCCCTGAACGCAAGCGTCCATTATGATGTGGCAAAATGGAGATGAATCTGAAACTCCCACATTAACACAACCCTCAAAAGAGACTAAAGTGATTCCACGTGAGTGGTACCCCCTGGTTTTCAGATGAATCAAATGCCAAAACTTTCTGGAGGAAAAGATTCTCCACTTTAGGCTTCCAGGATAGCCAATGAAGAAGAACAACCATTATGAGCTCACAATCATGGATCACCAAAAATGTGAGAAAAGAAGTCGCCACAAGAACACAAGCAACAAACAGATTTTGATCCCTGAGGAATTCAGATATTAGAATTATCAGCCACAAAATACAGAAATAGCTATGCATGAAATGTTTAAAGAAATAACACATGGAATCACAAAAACAGGCATGCAGCATGCAAAATAAATAGTCAAATCTGGCCAGGTGTGGTGGCTCATGTCTGTAATCCTAGCACTTTGGGAGGCCGACGTGGATGGATTGCCTGAGCTCAGGAGTTCGAGACCATCCTGGGCAACATGGTGAAACCCTGTCTCTACTACAATACAAAAAAGTTAGCCAGGTGCCGTGGTGCAAGCCAATAGTCCCAGCTACTTGGGAGGCTGAAGTAGGAGAATTGCTTGAACCTGGCAGGCAGAGTTTACAGTGAGTTGAGATCACGCCACCACACTCCAGCCTGGGTGACAGAGCAAGACTCTGTCTCAAAAAAAAAAAAAGAAAGTCAAATCTGTGAAGTCATCAAACAGAACTTCTAGAAATTAAAAATACAGTTTTGTTGAAATACAAAGTGAATGAATATGCAGTGATAAAAGGAAAGGAGTAATCAAGCCACGAAAAGACATTGAAGAACCTTAAACATATACTAAGTGGAAAGAGCAATTTGAAAAGGCTATATACTACATAATTCCAATTACATGACATTGGAAAAAGCAAAATTATGGAGATAGTAACAGATCAGTGGTTAACAGGGATTCTGGGGGAGAGAGATGAATAAGTGGAGCTCAGGATATTTTTGTAACAGTGAAACTATTCTATATGAAACTGTAATGGTGGATACATACTGTTAATGGCCTCAATTGTGTCCCCCACCCCACTCCAAAGTTCATATCTTAAAGTCTTTAAAGAGGTAGCTGAGGTAAAATGAGGTCATTGCGGTGGGCCCTTATCCTTATGAGAAGAGGAGATTAGGACACAGACAAACTTAAAGGGAAGATCATGTGAAGACATAGAAGACAGCCATCCACAAGAAGAAACCAACCCTACCAAGACCTTCATATTGGACTTCTAGCCTCCAGAACTGTAAGAAAATAAACTTCTATTGTTTAAGCCGGTTAGTCTGTGTATTTGTTATGGCAGTCCTAGCAAACGAATACATATGTTATTATACATTTGTCAAAACACATAGAATGTACAACACCAAGAATGAACCCGAATGTAAACTAGGGACTTTGGTTAATAATAATGTATCAATATTGGTTCGTCAATTGTAACAAACTATCTTTCAAAAGTAAGAGCAAAATAGACATTTTTAGATAAGCTGAGTGATTTTTCCATCCTTCCCTCACAGCCCTCAGAAAAAACAATCCTGCTGACACTGTGATTTTGGACTCCTAGCCTCCAGAACTGTGAGACAATAAATTTCTGTTAAGACACAGTTTGGGCTGTGGATGGTGGCTCATGCCTGTAATCCCAGCACTCTGGGAGGCCGAGGTGAGAGGATCATTTGAGCCCAGGAGTTTGAGACTAGCCTGGGCAACATAGTGAGACCCCATCTCTATAAAAAATAGAAAAATTAGCCAGGTGTGGTGGTGCATGCCTATAGTCCTAGCTACTTGGGAGGCAGGGGCAGGAGGATCGATTGAGCCTGTAGTGAGCTGTGATTGCCCCACTGCACTCCAGCCTGGGTGACAGAGCAAGATTCTGTCTCGAAAAAAAAAAAGACACAGTTTGTGGTACTTTCTTACTGTAGCCTTAGCAAACTAATACAGGGGAGCAAGGCAAAAGCAAGGAGACTAATAAAGGGGCTACTACAATAATCCAGGCAAGAGATGATAGTGGACTGGACCAGCTGGGGTGGTAGAGGGGTAAGATACCAATAGGTTCTGGATATATTTCAAAGGCAAAGTTAGCAGGATTTTGCTATGGATATGGGATATGAGAGCAAAAAGAGAAGTCAAGGATCACTCTAAGGTTTTTGGCCTGGACAAGTAGAAGGATGGAGCTGCCATTTACAGTGAGGATGAAAGCATGATTAGAGCATGACCAAGACAGTCCAAGGAGAAAAATTAGATCGAATACATACAACTCTTTCAAAAAATTTTTGACTGGGTGTCGTGGCTCACGCCTGTAATCCCAGCACTTTTGGAGGCCAAGGCAGGCAGATCACTTGAGGTCAGGAGTTCGAGACCAGCCTGGTCTAACCTAACATGGTGAAACCCCATCTCTACTAAAAATACAAAAATTAGGCCAGGCGCGGTGGCTCACGCCTGTAATCCCAGCACTTTGGGAGGCCAAGGCAGGCGGATCACGAGGTCAAGAGATCAAGACCATCCTGGCCAACATGGTGAAACCCCATCTCTACTAAAAAAAAAAAAAATATATATATATATATATATATATATATTAGCCGGGTATGGTGGCACACACCTGTAATTCCAGCTACTCAGGAAGCTGAAGCATGAGAATTGCTTGAACTTGGGAGGCGAAGGTTGCAGTAAGCCAAGATCATGCCACTGCACTCCAGCCTGGGTAACAGAGTGAGACTCTGTCTCTAAAAGAAAAGAATTTTGCTGTACCAGGGACAACTGAAAGCTGATAGAAATGATACAATAAAGATAGGAAAAAGGGGTAATACAACATTAGAAGGGAGAGTCACTGGTAAAATATTGGTGAGTCGGTGAGAGGAGACGGGATTTAGCACTCAAGTAGAGGGATTAGCCTTTGCTAGGAATAATGATGGTTTATCAGGTAACAACAGGAAAGGGAGCATGTATGAACACTAGTGGGTAAATGCAGTAGTGAAAATTTTTGAAAGGCCTCTTCCGATTCCTTCTGTCTTCTGGTAAAGAGGGACTATAATTACTAACTGAGAGCAAGGACTATGGAAGAAGTATTGGAGATTTGAAAAGACAGGAAGAAGTATGAAATAGTCCCCTAGGAGAGAATCAGAGAAAATAAAAAGGATAGCTAAAGGACATATTTCAGGTAGGAAATGATCCCAGAGGAAGGCCTAGATACAAAGAATAGTGAGCAAATAAACCAGCAAACATGTAGATAAATATGTAAATATTGTCTGTATAGCAATTTATAATGCCCGATTTGTAGAGTTAAAAAAGAAAGAGAGAGAGAACTAAGCCAGGCACAATGTGCACCTGTAGTCCCAGCTACTCTGGAGGTTGAGTCAGGAGGATTGCTTGAGCCCCGGAGTTTGAGGCCAGTCTGGGCAACAGGATGAGACTCTATCTCTAAAAAATAAATAACTAAGTTTCAAAAAAAAATTAAAATTAGAACTAAATATGAGACAACTCCTTATAAGTGAAGAGTGGGTGATTGAAATTAAATGTTCTAAAGTCCCTCTTACCACTGGGGGTATAATAGTGTTAGATTTTGTTAAGTATGCAAGTAAAATTTCAAGAGTTACTACTAAAAGAAAAGAACTAGAATGCCAACTTCCAAACTAATAAAGGAGATAAAATAAGAACAAGCAAATATTCAACCCCCAAAGAAAGGGCAAAAAGAAAAAAAAGCACAGAAAAAAACAGTAGAAACTGGATAACAGAAACAAGAGCTGTTCTGTCAATAATCACAACAAATATAAGTGGACTAAACTTGCCAATTAAAGTGAAAAGACAAAAATTGTCAGACTTGGTTTAAGAAAAAAGTACCTCTACGATGCTTATAAAAGCATACCTAGCCAGTTGTGGTGGCTCACACCTATAATCCCAGCATTTTGGGAGGCCAAGGCAGGAGGATCACTTGAGGCTAGAAGTTCGAGGCCAGTCTGGGCAACATAGAGAAACCTCACCTCTACAAAAAAATTTAAAAATTAGCTGGATGCAGTGGCATGTGCCTATAGTCCCAGCTACTCAGGAGGCTGATGTCAGAGGATTGCTTGAGGCCAGGAGTTCGAGGATACAGTGAGCTATGATGGCACCACTGCACTCTAGCTCGGGCAACAGAGGGTGACCCTGTTTCTTTTCTTTAAAAAAAAAAAAAAAAAAGCATGCCTAAAACAGAAGGACTTACAGAAGTCCAATGCCAAACAAGATAGAGTCAAGGAAGCTAGATTAATATAAGGTTAAATAAAATTTCTCAGCCAGGCACAGTGGCTCATGCCTGTAATCCCATTACTTTGGGAGGCTGAGGCAGGCAGATCACTTGAGTTCAGGAGTTCAAGACCAGCCTGGCCAACCCCATCTCTACCAAAAATTTAAAAATTAGCTGGGTGTGGTGGCGCACACCTATAATCCCAGCTATCTGGGAGGCTGAGGTGGGAGAATCGCTTAAACCCAGGAGGCAGGGGTTGCAGTGAGCCAAGATGGGGCCACTGCACTCCAGCCTGAGTGACAGAGTGAGACTCTGTCTCAAAAAAATAATAATTAATTAATTAATTAAAATAAATTCTCCATGTACCTAGGCCACTCAGAAGCTAGGTGTCAAACCTTACAATCACGTAAGGTTATTACTAATAGAGACCTAGAACAGCACTGTAAAGTAGAACTTACTGCAATGAGCTGTTCAATATGGTAGTCACTAGCCACATGTGGCTACAGAACAATTGAAATGTAGACAATCCAGCTGAGCTCAACTTTTACTTTTATTTAACTTTAATAAATTTAAAGAGTCACAACACTAGAGATTTAGTCTAACCCTCTTATTTTACTGAGGCCTAGAAAAGAAGTTATCCAACACTCCAAGGTAGACCACAACCAAAATTTAAGTCTCCTGACTCCTAATTAGCATTCTTTTCTAATACCCCAGTACTTCCCAAGCTGTTCTGCTGCAATATCCCTAGAGTAAGTCTAGAGGTATAACGTGAAAATAGTCCACTGTGGCTGGGCGTGGTGGCTCAAGCCTTTGGGAGGCTGAGGCGGGTGGATCACAAGGTCAGGAGTTTGAGACCAGCCTGATCAACACAGTGAAACCCCGTCTCTACTCTACAAAAATTAGCCAGGCATGGTGGCAGGTGCCTGTAATCCCAACTACTTGGGAGGCTGAGGCAAGAGAATCGCTTGAACCCAGGAGGGGAAGGTTGCAGTGAGCTGAGATTGCGTCACTGCACTCCAGCCTAGGCAACAGAGCAAGACTGTCTCAACAACAACAACAAAATAGTCTACTGCATGTACAAAATTTCCTTGAGAATTCATATTAAAATTTACATTGGAATTTTTTATAATAGTAATAATCACCACCACCACTTATTAAGCAATTGCATTTTTTTTTTTTTGGTAGAGATAGGATCTTGCTATGTTGCCCATGCTGGTTTTGAACTCCTGGCCTCAAGCAATCTGCCCGCCTTGGCCTCCCAAACTGCTAGGATTATAGGCGTGAGCCACTGCACCCAGCCTAAGTGCTTATTTTATGTAATAATTATATTATAGTAACAATATTAATGACTAACACATGAAATTTATTATGTGCCAGGTACTTAAATGCTTTTATATGTGTTAACTTATTTAATCTTCACAACAACTTTATGAGGTAGAAACTCTAATTATCCCTTTATAAATAAGGAAGCTGAACTGAAACAGCTTGCCCAAGGTTATGTTGCCACTAAGTGGCAGAGCTGGGACTAGAATCTAGGTGGTTGGGTTCCAGGGTCTGTAGTTAACAACCATTCACTACACTTTACTGTCTCTCTAGCAAACATTAAATGAACAAACGAATGCAGCTTCACCAAAGCAGAATGGGAACACCAACTTCAGATCTGGAAAACTTGGGCCTTTTGTTTCCCTCTCAAAAAGATGTTTAAAAGGTACAATGTTTACCTTGTTACTAAAAACATCCATTCCCCAGCACCACTAACACTCCCACCTGTGCCAACATGGAACATCTGAAGGCAGTCCAATTTCCTAAAGTGTCACCTGTATAGCCACTTAATTTATGCCAGTTATCTGCAAAGTAAAGTCTCCCACATCAGCAACTCTTACCCTATAACATTAATTTTTTAAAAAAGAAAAGCAACCATTTCTAAACACAGCATTCAATCAGAATTTTCAATCCCTTCATCCAAAAATTGTTTTAATGAATGTAAGCTAAAGACATCTGAAAAGTATTATCCACCCCCTCCTAGCTGATGAAACCTAAATAACAAAAGGTCAAGCATCAGAGCTGGCAGCCAAGCCTCTGAAACAGGGAACACTGTACCTGAGACATAGAACATAGTGGCTAAATACTGATTGTCTCAGTCAAACAGACCTGCATTAGAATTCTTGTTCAGCCACTTACCATTTTCATAAATGCAAACTATGGCTAACAAAAACATGTATCCCATAGGCTGTTGTGAATGTGAGTAGAACACTGTGTGGGAGGTAAACACACTTCATATGTGTTAGTGCCAAATTTTTATTCCAGAGACTTGACAAAGTTATCCATTTTTGTTTCAGGCAGAAGAGCACAAGAACCACTCCCAATGACAGCTTTCTAGTTTCTCCTTTAAACTTTAGAGGAGTTTCTGCACTGAGAGACTGGAATGGTATGCTGGTTAAGGGCACTGGCTCTGGGATTTGTATTCCAGCTAGTCCACTGGACTCCTTTGCCTCATTTGAGGTTTTTTCATCTGTTAAGTGGGAATAATGATAAAAACATTGTCCATCTCATAGGGTTATTATGAGGCTTAGTCAATACATGAAAAATGCACACAACAGCACCTGGAGGATAGTAAATGTACAGTAAATATTGGTCACTACTTCTCCCCATGGGTGATGTACTCCAAATTTTTAGTCCATGGAGAACAATGTAATTATTTTGGAACTCTATAGAACGTTAGAGCTGGAAGAGATCTTAGGAAGTACTTCTAGTACAACTTTCTCATTGATTAATTGGTTGTCACGTAGGACCAGAACTAAATGGCCTGATCAGGATTACAATCCAGGCCTCCTAATTTATTTATTTATTTTTTTTGAGACAGAGTATCACTCTGTTGCCCAGGCTGGAGTGCAGTGGCACTATCTTGGCTCACTGCAACCTCCGCCTCCCAGGTTCAAGCAATTCTCCTGCCTCAGCCTCCCGAGTAGCTAGGATTACAGGCGTGTGCCACCACGCCTGGCTAATTTTTGTATTTTTTTTAGTAGAGATGGGGTTTCGCCATGTTGGCCAGGCTGGTCTTGAACTCCTGACCTCAGGTGATTGACCTGCCTCAGCCTCCCAAAGTGCTGGGATAACAGGCATGAGCCACCGTGCCCAGCCTGGGCCTTCTAATTTCTATTTAGTGCTAAGTCCACATCACTGTGCTGCTTCTTCTTAATGAAAACAGTAGAGATCATTCAGTCTCTCCTCTCTGTAAACCACCAGGCCATCGTCCGGAAACATCTGGGAAGAAATCCATCTCATTAAGACTTTCAGCAACCATTGCCTCAGGTAGCACTTTTTTGGAAGGTAGGGTAAGTGGGGTATAATCTACTTCCCAAGAATCCATACCCAAGAGATACATAAAACAAAAGTTTGAAATAGTATTAATTCCTTTTAGGGATTATTATTATTATTTCCATGGGGGAAATAATACTGGTTAATGTTTATTAAATATTTTCTAAGTGTCCGACACAATATTAAGTGCCTTTTGTTTTTTGATTGAATCCTCCCAACCCAGCCCCACTGCCCTAAGCTGCCCTTCTATGTGCTCCTGCAGCTACCTGGTATTTCTCTGCTTAAAGCACATATCATGCTGCCATGTAACTGTCTGCTTACTTGTCTTGGTATCTTACCAGACTGCAAGCTGAAAAAGGACAGGAATCACAATTATCATGTTTATCATTCATTTCCTCTTTCAACAAATATTCCTGAGCATGAACAAGACAGAAATAGTCCTGGTTCACTGTGGCAGATATGCCCTTCTTACAATGTGACCTCAACATACCTCCCATTGGGGGTGAGGGTGGGGGTCCTAATATTCCATTCCCTTGAATCTGCCCCTACAGGGTACTGTGGAAGTGATGCTATGTGCCTTGTAAGGCTAGGTGACAAAAATGCCATGCATTTCCACCTTGTTCTCTTATGGCACGCACTCTTGGAATCCAGCCTCCCATAAAGCTACTGTGAGGAAACCCATAGGAGCCCATGCGGAAAGATCACATGGAGAGGTAACCAGCTTAGCCAAGGCCCCAGTCATCATAGAACAGGGACAAGCCTTTCCCAGTGTGCCTTGTTTGAATTCCTTACTCACACAATTGTGAGCATAATAAAATGATTTCTTCATGCCCACTAAATTTTGGAGTGATTTATTACACAACAATGGTAACTGGAACAACCACACAAAGCTTAATATCTAACAAGGAATAAAAATACAAAATACCTGATTCCAAGGTATTACCTACACCTAACACAGTAACTTGAACAGAGCAAATTATTTGTTGAGTGTCTGAGGTAGTTATGATGCCCATTTTGCAGATGAGGAACGGAGGCTTTGAGAGTTAAGAAACTTGCCCAAGGCTACTCAGCTAGTGAGTGGCAGAACAAATTAAAACTCAGATCTAGGCCTGGCGCAGTGGCTCCCGCCTATAATCCCAATACTTTGGGAGGCCAAGGAGGGAGGATTACCTGAGGTCAGGAGTTTGAGATCAGCCTGGCCAACATGGTGAAACTCCATCTCTACTAAAAATACAAAAAAATACAAAAAAAAAAAAAATTAGCTGGGCATAGTGGCACATGCCTGTAGTCCCAGCTACTTGGGAGGCTGAGGCAGGAGAATCATTTGAACCCGGGAGGCAGAAGTTGCAGTAAGCCGAGATTGCACCACTCCACTCCAGCCTGGCAGAGTGAGACTCCGTCTCAAAAACAAAAGCAAACAAACAAACAGAAAAAACAGCAAAGAAAAAACTCAGATCTAAACCCACGTACCCAACACTCTACTCTTCTGTTACTCTCAGTACTTACAACTTTAAATATACAGTAGCTGGCTGGGCGCAGTGGCTCATGCCTGTAATCCCAGCACTTTGGGAGGCCGAGGCGGGCAGATCATGAGGTCAGGAGTTTGAGACCAGCCTTGCCAACATAGTGAAACCCCGTCTCTACTAAAAATACAAAAAATTAGCCAGACGTGGTGGCAGGCACCTGTAATCCCAGCTACTCGGGAGGCTAAGGCAGGAGAATCGCTTGAACCCAGGAGGCGGAGGTTGCAGTGAGCCAAGATCATGCCACTGGACTCCAGCCCGAGCAACAGTGTGAGACTCTGTCTAAAAAACAAAACAAAACAACAACAAAAAAAAACGGTAGTCTGTTTTAAAATGGGATTGTCAGTATTTAAAACATTCTGGCCTAACAGGATTTGTCATGCAGTTTCATCACTGAGATGGAAACCCACATATCACCTTCTCCAAAAAGCTTCTCCTGACCTTCATAATTCAAGTGATGCCAGCTCCACCAACCTCCCCAGCCTTTCTACTTCCTATTCCATCACAGTCTTATTGTTTTCCCAGCACTTGTTCCTAGTTGAAACTGTCTTATTAATTTGTTCATGAGTCTACTCTGTCTCTCTGACATGAATATAAGCTCCACCAGAGTAGGAACCTTGTCTGTCCTGTTTACAGCTATATCCCTAGTGCCTAGGACAGTGCCTGAAATATAGGAGGTGATCAAAAATTATTTACGGAATGAAGGAATGATTGCATTCAGGCAAAATGAATGCCCACCCAATCTTATTACTCACCAATAGATGTGAAAATAGAGAGGATAAGAGAAAACAAAAACAGAAGGATTGCAGCAGAATCATTCCATACAGTAAGGTCAGTGAAAAAAAAAAAAGGAAGAGGGGTTGGGATCCATGCTACAATTCATCTACTTAGAAAAGCATAAACTCTGAGTTCACAGACTGTCAGTCCAACTTTCAACTAAGTAAGGGCTGATGAGGAGAGAGGTGTTAAAACTTAGAATGGAGATGTAGGTAATGGATGGAGTAGGGGGCCACACCTCCTAACCTCCATTCATAACCACTGATCGCTCACTTACAAAAAAACTTCGCTGAACCACAGCAAGGACAATTGTTGGGGACCCTTAAACAGCAGACCTTCTACCATTCGCTTGGCTCTTCTTATGCACTAGATACAGCTACCTGGGATGCAGGTGCTGTTTCCCAAAGGCAAGCAAGTGGCAGTAACCTAGCTCTTCGCGGAAGAAGTAACGAGAGAAATCTTCAGACCCAGAACAGGGTCCTCTGCATATGCAGGTCCCCAACGGCTCTATTTCTCCCAGGTGGGAAGGTGACCGTTCCTCAGGACCTCCCAAGTGCTAGGCACTATGCTGGGCTCTTAACATGCTTTCCTTAATTTACGGGCCATTCCTTCCCCCCAATCCAATAATTTAGAGAGGCCTCAAGTACAACTTCTCCATTCCCCAGACCCGCTACTCTCTACCCCAAGAAATCTTCAAACTCCAGGAGCGGTTGGGGAAGATAAAAAGAAATCTGGAGTGGCCTAAGAGTTAGAATGGGAGGGGAACGGTGCTAGGGCAAGAAGAGATTATACTGGGATCAGTATAGTAAAGATCAGTAAAGAGAAGATAAGAACGCGGTCTGACCCTTTCCAAGCCCATTATGTCCATCAGAAGAGATGACGAGGAGCAGGAAACTGAAGCCCAGCAAACAGGTGGCCCCGAGACGAGGCCGCGTCTCCATGGCA
The DNA here is from genome assembly GCF_000001405.40 of Homo sapiens. Lineage (NCBI taxonomy): Eukaryota > Metazoa > Chordata > Mammalia > Primates > Hominidae > Homo > Homo sapiens. The sequence goes on from NC_000001.11 coordinate 52,055,101, forward strand.
GTAGGTGCGCGGGGCCACGGGGCTGAGCGGACGCAGGGCCGGAGTCCCAGCAGACGGTCCACACAGTTCGCCGAGCGCCGCTCAGCACAACACCTCTACTTCCCAGATTTTTTTTTTTCAAACTCTGAAGGAAGTGATGTTAGACGGATGTGGGTGGTGCCTCCGGGGTCCGGTTTGGGATGGAGTGAGCTTAAAGGTGCAGATCACGTAGAAGGGTACGAGAGCTGTTCTCGAGCGCGAGTTGCTTTTCGTGGATTCTGGGTGTCCAGGTCCCGGGACGGAGCGGGAAAATGTAGGCCAAGATAGTAGGGGCGGGGGAGAGGTTCGGGAGAACCGTTGCTCCTCGCGTCCGCCACCCAGTCCAGCCCCTCCCCCCAAGAACCGCTGCACTTCCTAGTCAAAAGCAAATTATTGATTCGTGAGGTCAGTCGCTCCCAACAGTGGGCGGATTGCCCACTGGCCTCGGATTCTCCTTACCCCTCCACAAATCAAGACTGGACAACTGGATTTCATTGTTAGGTTCCTGCGAGGGTCTCTGAGGAGACCTGGCAAGCCTGTTCTGCGGTGCGTGGGCTCGTGCCGTGCAGACATGCACTTTCCCGCTGGAGAAGCTCTGTACCTTATTTTTCCTTGCAACCGCAAATCTTCTACTCAGGGATGATGCAACCAACTGATGCAAGCTCCAAGAAAACCAAACTTGGGACCTCTTATTGCAAAACTGACTTAGGTGGACTTAGGACACCAGGATATAAGTCACTGCAGGCTAAAGTGTAAAGCTTCTGGTTATTTTTCTTGTAGCTTGAGGATTTCTTCCCAATTTTTCCCCTTCGCTGTATAACAAACAGGTGAAAATGTCCGGTCTTTTTCTTCCTGGTACTAGTTGAGTCCTAAAGTCCGTACTTAATGCATAGCGAAAAAGCGACCTAACAAAAGTACACACCCAAATAAAAACATACCGACCACCCTTTTATTAGGTTCCCTAAAATTGTAGGCAGGGACACAACAGAACGCTCGGGAGACTGCAAGCCCCAGGATGCCGCGCGGCCACCTGCACCTGCCGCCACTAGCACTAAGAGGGATGCGCAAAGCAGGCGGGGCGTTGGAGTTCAGATGTTCGCTCCCGGGATAGGCTGCCCCGGAGAGGGAGAGGCGGGGTCGGCTGTATCACGTGGATCTGCTCCCGCCGCCGCCGCCGCCGCCGTCGTCTTTCTCTGTCTCGGCTGAGGCAGCCATCTTTCTCTTGCCGCGTGCTGGTGTTGGAGGACCCTCCCTGCTTCAGGTGAGACCCCCGGCGGTCCCGCCACTTCACGGCCATAGGCCGCTGCGCACGGTCTCCCCCCGCCCTCCCCTTCCGACACCCGCCAACCGCTCAGGCTGCCACTTCCGCCGTGGTGCGGCGAGCGGGGGCGGAGGCGGCTGGCTTGGCCTGTCGGTTACCGGCGGCGCAGCTGGGGGTCGGCACCTGTGGGAAGGTCCCCAGCACCACCGCCCCCTGTGGGAGCGAGCGGGCCCGCCCTGTTGCCGCCCAGACCCTGTCCCAGGAGGCAGGTGGACGCCCCTCCTCTGTTCCATTACTCCTTGCTCACAACAGCAGTGTTGTGTGCTTTGAGCTTTATACAGGCTCTCTGTTGTCATCTCATTTGATGCTCCCAGTCTACAGATAGGGAAGCTGAGGTTACCACTTCCCGCCCTTGAGTCCAGGGAACCGAACTCAGTTACAGCACTCTTCACCTTGTAATGGCAGTGTTTGTTTACAAGTCGGCGTCCCTTGCCCATCTTTATAACCCCCCTCCCACTGCCTGCTGACCGACAGGCTCAGTGTTGCACAGCTAGTGAATGGCGGTTTCAACTTCCGTTCCCACATTCTTGCAGTTTACCATAGTTGTCCCCTCGGGAGTGGTAACAATAGTTACCAGTAACTGTGTATCTTCTGTGAACCATTCCCTGTGGTTGATAATGTTTTAACCCTCAAAACAACCCTGTGAAGTACGTGGTGTTATACCTTTCCAAATGCAGGAGGAATACAAGTTCAGAGAAGAAAAATACCTTTCCCAACTGGTAGAACCTTGGTCTTTCTGATTCCAAAGCCTGTGCTTGTCTTAGAGAAACCCTACATAATAAAAAGTCAGGACTCAAGGTTGCAATTATTTTTATCTCTGTGTAAACATGATGTATGTGAAAGTGCCTACCACAATGCTTCTAACTTAGGCACTTAATAAATATAAACCTGTTTACACCCTTTCTTGAGTCCTTGAGAACAGTGCTAAAAGATCCTGGAATCCCCAAGGAAGAACTCATTAATCATGTGGCTTTAGGAAGTTACTTCTCCCTTTTGGGCCTAGGAAGGGACTTCTCCCTTCTGGGCCCTTATTTCCTAATCTATTAAGATGGGAGGGAGGGAACTGTTTCGTTTGTAATTTATACTTTGCTGGTGCTAGCAGATGTTGAGATGACATCACAGATAGGAATGATGGGTGCAATAAAGTAGAGGTTGATTGAGAATAGAGAATTAAACCAGGTGATCTTGGAGGTCTACTCCAGATTCTGAGCTTGACATCGCATAGACTGAGTCCAGTCCTCTTTCCTACTTGAATTCCACACACCACAACTTGCCAAGAAACAAAAGACTACTCTTGTTCCTCCCCTACTGCCTTGAGCTCTCAGTCTCCCTAAAATCATTTTTCTCTGAGATACTCCTTAGGAACAAAATTTCTCAATTCTGTTGTCCTGACCACCTGGAATGGAATCTGTTCTTTCATCTATACCTTGATTTGAAGAGTTAATTTTGTTCTTGCTTTTATTTCAAACAAGTCAAGACTTTGTCTTGGCATCCCAACCTCTGTCTGTTCTCTTGGGAATTGTTACTTCAAAATGCAGAAGAATCCCAAAGGGTTTACCAAGTATCTAGGTCTAATGTTTTTCCTTAGCCCCTTTTTTTTTGCAATAAATTCCTTTGGCTCTTTGTTAGTTCACTACACTCTCATGGCCACATTCCTTTGAGAAAAGTGAATGTTGGTCCTTTTCTGTGGATATTTGAGCATAGGAATTGGGATTTAAGTCATCAAATTTAAGTCTATGGCAGAGCTAAGATTGGCACACATTTAAGACTTCTTGTTTTGGACTCTAAACACACTTCCTCCTATAAAAGTGTTTTTAGCTGCTTCAGCATTGTGATACAGCGCTGAGCAGAGTGAAGAATCATAAATTCTAAATATTATTTGGGATCTGGACATTAGCCTTAAAGAAGAGATAGATATATAGGTTATTGCCTAAGGATAGTGTCAAAGTACAAAATGGTTAGTAATTATATAGTCTTTGATGCTGCTTTTTTTAATCTCTCAAATGAAGCAAACAGTATTTTTTTCATGTGAATGATGACTATACAGGGTTTAGAGAATTGGCCAAAGAAGATTTGATAACAACCTAGTCCCTTATTCCCTCCCTCACATCTCAGTAATGATTTGTTGATCTGCAGAACAAGTAAAACAAGACTTTTAATTTGGCTTTTTTTTTTTTTTGAGACGGAGTTTCGCTCTTGTTGCTCAGGCTGGAGTGCAATGGCATGATCTTGGCTCACCGCAACCTCCGCCTCCCGGGTTCAGGCGATTCTCCTGCCTCAGCCTTCTGAGTAGCTGGGATTACAGGCATGTGCCACCACGCCCGGCTAATTTTGTATTTTTAGTAAAGACAGGTTTCTCCATGTTGGTCAGGCTGGCCTCGAACTCCCGACCTCAGGTGATCCATCCGCCTCGGCCTCCCAAAGTGCTGGGATTACAGGCGTGAGCCACCGTGCCGGGCCTGAATTTGGCTTTTCTTTGTTTATGTAATGTGGAATGTGATGACCCATTATAAACTTAAGAATGTTTTTTTCTTAGTGGGATTATCACTGACCAGACTAGATTCATGACTATAATTTTAGAATCTTCAAAATCAAGATTAACTTTAAAAAGCTTGTTTTAGGAGTCTCCTCTCTGCCCCCCCCCAACATTTATTACTGTAGCAAAGATATGTTTTTGTTAAATTGTGCAATGAAGCATTTTACCCTGTATGCAAGAATGTCTTGACAAGTATAACATACTATATCAGTGCAGGGTATTGAATGAACTCTGGAGAGTGCTGCAGAAGCACCAAATGTCTGAAAACCTGGTTCTCTTTCCCCATTATTAACATACCATCTGACCTTGAATAGAGGACATGACTACTTGATATCTTGACAGCTAGACAGCCTTTTGTTGAATTTCTTCTTTGTTCAGCTTTTTTTTCCTTTTGTCATCTTTATGGTTTATAAGAAATACAGAATGTGATTTGGGAGGAAAAAAATCTACTTGAAGATTTTGCTAATAACATTTGGTAACAGCTCTCTGCTGTAAAAATCTTTGGGGGAAAAAAACTGGCTTGCCTACAGAGATTTCATAATTGGTTAGGCTTAACTGAATGCCAAAGGATTGAATCATGTTTTAAGGAGGGATCTTTGAATAGGTGACTTTGAATCCCATTCTACTTTCTGTTTGTATATTTGATTCCCTCATGGTAATTTAATTTTGATTTTTAAAAATATCTGGTTTATGAAGCTAGAACAAGTTATTAATGTTTATTAAGAATATAGACAGTATTAATATGGTCATGGTGTTGATGCATACTACAAGCTCAGTGAACCAGAAGGTACTGTTGCATAAACAGTTTGTTAATTTCGGCAAAAGAGTGACTTTAACAAATCTATTTTTCCCCCCCTAGATTTACCAACAGCATGAATCAAGAAAAGTTAGCCAAACTTCAGGCTCAGGTCCGGATAGGGGGCAAGGTGAGTGTGGCATAAGAAAAATTGATAGGAGAATGTATGATTACCAGATAGTGTTATTATTTCGGATTTGTGGTCATTGAAAATCTAAAATCTTTTCAATAATCAAGATCAAACCACATTCCAATTTGAAAATAACTTGTCTAGATCTAAAATAGGTAACTAGAACACTTTTCTCTCTGATGATGCAATGGAAATAGCCACATTTGTTTGAATCCTAACTCTTACCATCTGCTAGTTATATGATGTGAACAAGTTATCCAACCTTGTTAAGCTTCCACTTTCTTATCTGCAAAATAGAAATAATCCTACATAAGGTGTTTAAAGATTAGGGTAATATTTATAAAACACCTAATGTGGTGTCTAGCACAGAGTAGATGCTTAATAAATTATAGCTATTATTATGGTTAGACTCACTTGCAGGGCATACCAGATGTTAGGGTTACTTTGTCTTGACTGGATGTTACCTACTTGTACAGAGGTTTAGCTGGAGATGCTTAAGTTGATTATATATTTTGTTCATTGCCAGGTTTTCCTCACAAATTCTTACCTGTTCTTCCATGTTGGTGAATATGAATATCAGCTTTCTTATTCCCTGTACTTTTTAAAGCCTAAGGAAGAACTAGTTGTGAGCAACTGAAGTCTTTGATTCTCTTCAGCTGTGGCACCAGGCTCAAGGAGAATATTCTACCCATATCTCTGCCCAACACAATCTTTGCAAAAGTGAAAGAAAGAATAGTACTTACCTCAGACCTGAAGTGGTAGGTAGGACACTACTTTTTGTAGTGGGTCCCACTGTGTCATTTACACTGATGATAACCACAGTTCCTGGGGATGAGCACAAGGGAAGGGAAGGGAAGAAGAGCCAGTACTTTCTCCTTCTCCCACAGTGATACAGTTATATGAGTCTGGAGTTAGAATAACACACTCATGTAACCACAGTAGTCACATTGTAGCATCAAGTGTGATGTGATGTGCCAATGCAGAAACTAGGGATATTCAAGAACCATAGAATATACCTAGAAGAGCTTGATGTACCACATCGCCATTGTGTATTTTAAAACTGTGGTTGGTACATTCGATTTAGCTGTTGTATATTGAGCACCTACTGTGTGCCAGCACATAGAAGATAAACAAGATCACAGCTCTGCTTGGGAGAGAGATGCTCACAATTATAACGCAGAATAGTGAGTGTTATAATGAAGTACAAGGTACTCTTGCCTAGTGGAGACAAGGAAGTTATCACTGAGCTCTTGTTTAAAGGATAAACAATTTATCACTAGGCGAAAAGGTAATGGCTGGCAGAAAGGTAATGGGTGGTGGCTCACGCCTGTAATCCCAGCACTTCGGGAGGCTGAGGTGGGTGGATCAGTTGAGGTCAGGAGTTCAAGACCAGCCTAGCCAACATGGTGAAACCCTGTCTCCACTAAAAGTACAAAAATAGCCTGGTGTGGTGGCGCATACGTGTAGTCCCAGCTACTTGGGAGGCTGAGGCAGGAGAATCACTTGAACCCGGGAGGTGGAAGTTGCGGTGAGCCAAGATTGCACCACTGCACTCCAGCCTGGGCAACAGAGCAAGACTCCGTCTCAAAAAAAAAAAAAAAAAAAGAAATAGGTAAGAGGGTTCATGAGATAGAGTAAAAAGGGTTGTCATTTCCATACTTGCAAAGGCACATATGGTGCTAAGATAACACAGTACTTAATGGAATGGCTTGCTTTAATATGGTACAGCTATTCTTTTTTTTTTTTTTTTTTTTTTGAGACGGAGTTTTGGTCTTGTTGCCCAGGCTGGAGTTCAATGGCACGATCTCAGCTCACTGCAACCTCCGCCTCCTGGATTCAGGCAATTCTCCTGCCTCAGTCTCCTGAGTAGCTGGGATTACAGGCATATGCCACCATGCCCAGCTGAATTTTTGTATTTTTAGTAGAGATGGAGTTTCTTCATGTTGGTCAGGATGATCTTGAACTCCTGACCTCAGGTGATCTGCCCATCTCGGCCTCCCAAAGTGCTGGGATTACAGGCGTGAGCCACCGTGCCCGGCCTCTTTTTTTTTTTAAGATGGAATCTCTCTCTGTCGCCCAGGCTGTAGTGCAGTGGCGCAATCTCAGCTCACTGCAATCTCCGCCTCCCAGGTTCATGTCATTCTCCTGCCTCAGCCTCCCAAGTATCTGGGACTATAGGCACCCGCCAGCATGCCCGGCTAATTTTTTGTATTTTTTTCAGTAGACACAGAGTTTCACCATGTTAGCCAGGATGGTCTTGCTTGATCTCCTGACCTCGTGATCGCCCGCCTCGGCCTTTTTTTTTTTTTTTTTTTTTTGAGACGGAGTCTCACTCTGTCACCCAGGCTGGAGTGCAGTGGCGTGATCTCGGCTCACTGCAACCTCCACCTCCTGGGTTCAAGCGATTCTCCTGCCTCAGCCTCCTGAGTAGCTGGGATTACAGGCACGCGCCACCACGCCTGGCTAATTTTTGTATTTTTAGTAGAGACTTGGTTTCACCATGTTTGTCAGGCTGGTCTCAAACTCCTGACCTTATGATCTGCCCGCCTCAGCCTCCCAAAGTGCTAGGATTACAGGTGTGAGCCACCGCGCTCGGCCGGTACAGCTGTTCTTTAGTGTACGTAATGGATAGAGAATGGCAGGAAATGAAATGACCAGGTAGTTTGGGATTCCATTATACTTTTATATGCCATACTAAGGAGCTTGGAGTTTTATCCTATAGGCAGTGGGCAACTATTAAAGGATTTTAAGAAGGAAATGACTGCCATTTTAGAAAGGTAGCTGCTGGCGTTGTGGAAAATGGAACAAAATGGAAGTTTGGCCTATAGGCGAACAATTGAGACGCTATTGCTAGAGTCTAAGGCAGCAGTCCGCAATCTTTTTGGCACCAGGGACTGGTTTCGTGGAAGACAGTTTTTCCACGGATGGGAGGATGATGGTTTTGGGATAAAACTGTTCCACCTTAGATCATCAGGCATTAGTTAGATTCTCATGAGGAGTGCGCATCCTAGTTTCCTCGCATACGCAGCTCACAACGGTTCGCCCTCCTATGAGAATCTAATGCTGCCGCTGATCTGACTGGCTGTGGAGCCCAAGCAGTAATGCTCGCTCATGCCCCCTACCCCACCTTCTGCTGTGCTGCCGTGTTCCTAACAGGTCACAGACTGGTACTGGTCAGTGGCCTGGGGGTTGGGGACCTCTATTATATGGGATACAAATTTAGGAGTTGGAATTGACACGATTTAGTGACTGATGGGATATGGGGGGTAAAGGGCATGCAGAAGAATCTAGGATAACCCTCAGATTCATGATTTTAGAGACTTGAGTATATGGTGGTACCACCAGCTACAAAAGTTAGGAAATAAGAATAGATTGGTGGACTGATAAGCTTTAAGACATATTGAATTTGAGGTGCCTGAGGATCATTCGAGTTGAACAAGCACCAAGCAGTTGAGCTATCCCTGAGTCAGGAATGCTTCACAAATGAGTGCCTATGTAAATAGTCAGTCCTTCAGCAACTAGATTTCAAGGCATCCTCTGCTGTCAGATCTCTCCTCCACTCCCACCGGAATTGCTGAGACTGAAGCCCCTACCTTACCTCTATAAGGCTGATTCCCTGAGTACTACTATAGGAGCTACCCAGAGATTGAAACCACTATTCCTTTCTCCTTACTCCTACCAGTTTTAGAAAGATTTAACCCTCAAGACTTAATAAACTGATCCAGGAATCCATTATTTTAAATAGTATTTCAATGGAAAAATGTATTTAGAGTTTCACAGTATCAATTTAGAAATGAACTTTTTCTTTCTCAGTAACTAGTATAATTTTCAACCTGTTTGCTCAGGCCAAGATTCTAAGCATCATCCAAATGTCCTCTTTTTCTCATATCCCACGTGTAATCCATCAGCAAAGTCATGTGGTCTCTTGTGAGAATCTGACCCCTCACCATCTTCACTGCCATATCCCTCATCTCTGGCCAGGACGGCTACAGGAGCCTCCTGACTGGTCTCTTTATAATCCATTTTCTACATAGCAACTTCAGTCATAAGTAATCAGATCAAGTCACTCCCATGCTTAAAACCTTTCAATGGCTTCCCATTGCAATCAATAAAATCTAGCTCCTGCCCATGGCATTCTAGGCTACATAATCTGGTCCTTGCCTATCTTTCTGATTTCATATTCCTCTTCCGTTCCCATTATTCACTCTGCTCTAGCCATACTGGCCCATTTTCTCTCTTCTAGAAAGGACAAGTTCAACCTTGTTTCATTCTGCTTTGATCATTCTTGCCCTAGTTATGGGTCTCAACTCATATGTTACCTCTTCAGAGGGGGCTTTCCTGGACCTTCTAATAAAGTATTGCTTTGCCCCTACTTAGTCATTCTTGCTGTGCTCTAGTTTTGCTTTTTTCTTAATAGTACTTAATCCCATTTGAAATTATCTGATTTGTTTATATATTTATTGATTTTTTTCCTCCTACTGTAATGTAGACATTAATTTTCAGTTATGTCCTAATTCCCCAAATTTCAGAATATCTTTAGACTACTGGCAGGGGGTGGTAGTTACTATAAGAAAAGATAATGTTTTAAAATTGTTATAAAGTATTTAAATTGTCTTGAAGTTATAAATTATGTTTTATTAGCAAACAGTATCTTGTGTTGAAATGACAAAGGCTGGATATTAGATAAGAATAATTCAACCTGAAAAAGCTGATAAGGAAAAAAAAGGAACTGGCTAGAACCAACCTTTAGAAATCTGCGTTAGGCTGACAATCACAACCTCTGAGAAGTCTTATAACATTAATCATTATTATTTTGTCCATTTTTTAATGTGGGTTTTAGATTATTGTGATACGTAAGATGTGATTGCAGTTGCCAGATGCCAGGCATGCTAACACTTCTGCTTCTGTTTGGTTATTTTTCAGGGTACAGCTCGCAGAAAGAAGAAGGTGGTACATAGAACAGCCACAGCTGATGACAAAAAGCTTCAGAGTTCTCTAAAAAAACTGGCTGTGAATAATATAGCTGGTATTGAAGAGGTATGATCACTTTGCAAGTTGTTAAATTGTGTGGGTACATGCACAAATAATTGTCTGGACCTTTCAGATGTAAAATATCAGCTTAGAAAAATCTTTGATATTGTCACTCTGATGTCTTTGAAGGACTGTGGCACTTTGATTTTTGTATGAAATTAAATGATGGTCAAAAAAATAATTTTAGTAGACAGTTAAGGATTTTCATCATACTTTTCAAGCTCAAGATATTTGCGTATATGGCAAAATTATGTAAGTGTTCTTGAATATTAATATAAAATATGTCTCTAATAATGTAGAAATAAACCCCAACATTTCCTCAGATGAGATAGACCTTTTTTTTTTTTTTTTGAGATGGAGTCTCACTCTGTCACCCTAGCTGGAATGCAATGGCACGATCTTGGCTCACTGCAACCTCTGCCTCCCGGGTTCAGACGGTTCTCCTGCCTCAGCCTCCCAAGTAGCTGGGACTACAGGTGCGTGCCACCATGCCCGGCTGATTTTTGTGTTTTTAGTAGAGACGGGGTTTCACCATGCTGGCCAGGCTGGTCCCAAACTCCTGACCTCAGATGATCCGCCTGCCTCGGCCTCCCAAAGTGCTGGGATTACAGGTGTGAACCACCGCGCCCGGCCAGACTTTTTTTTATTATTTAAGATTTTGGACTCATGGCTCAATAGAGGTAGACTTTTTTACCCTAATGCACCTGTATATTTTACAGAGCCTCATTAGTTACTACCTCAGCCAAAAGGCTTTAGCAGTAGCTTTACATGGGTTAGATTTCTTATTAAAACTGTTTCAAAAATTGTTTAAAATGTATTAGTCAGCCGGGTGCAGTGGCTCACGCCTGTAATCTCAGCACTTTGAGAGGCCTAGGCAGGCAGATCATCTGAGGTCAGGAGTTCAAGAGCAGCCTGGCCAACATGGTGAAACCCTGTCTCTACTAAAAATACAAAAATTAGCTAGCTGTGGTGGCACATGCCTGTAATCCCAGCTACTCGGGAGGCTAAGGCAAAAGAATCACTTGAACCCAGGAGGCGGAGGTTACGGTGAGCCAAGATTGTGCCATTGCACTCCAGCCTGGGTGACAGAGTGAGCATCCGTCTCAAAAAAAAAAATTGTATGTCAGTTTATTGTATTTTGATGACACTATTTTTCTCAAATATGAGACCAAAGATTAATGTTATTCCAGAAGATACTTAATAAATAACAACAACTACTTGTGATGTTACCACCTAGATGCACCTCTGCCTGATGATTCCATTTGTTTTTTTGTTTTTTAAGACAGAATCTCACTCTGTCACCCAGGCTAGAGTGCAGTGGTGTGATCTCTGCTCACTGCAACATCTGCCTTCTGGGCTCAAGAAATTTCTGCCTCAGTCTCCAGAGTAGCTGGGATTACAGGCGCCCACCACCACACCCGGATAATTTTTTTTTTTTTTTGTATTTTTAGTAGAGACAGTGTTTTGCTGTGTTGGCCAGGCTGGTTTCAAACTCCTGACCTCAAATAATCTGCCCACCTTGGCCTCCCAAAGTGCTGGGATTACAGGCGTGAGCCACTGCACCCAGCCAGTTCCATCTGTGATGGTAACCAAAGTTTACGCTTTTACTGCCATAAGTTAAATTTAACCGGCCGGGTGCGGTGGCTCACACCTGTAATCCCAGCACTTTGGGAGGCCGAGGCGGGTGGATCACGAGGTCAGGGGATCGAGACCATCCTGGCTAACACGGTGAAACCCCGTCTCTACTAAAAATTAAAAAAAAAATTAGCCGGGCATGGTGGCGGGCACCTGTAGTCCCAGCTACTCGGGAGGCTGAGGCAGGAGAATGGAGTGAACCCAGGATGGGGAGCTTGCAGTGAGCCGAGACCACGCCACTGTACTCCAGTCTGGGCAACAGAGCGAGACTCCATCTCAAAAAAAAAAATTTAATCATTACTGTGTTTGGTATCACCTCACAATTTTAAATAGGTGACTAATGTACATGTGCTATAAAACAAGAATCAGAAATAATGTGGAGGTAGGGGCTGGGCGCAGTGGCTCACACTTGTAATCCCAGCACTTTGGGAGGCCAAGGTGGGCAGATCTTCTGAGGTCAGGAGTTTGAGACCAGCCTGGCCAACATGGTGAGACCCGTCTCTACTAAATATACAAAAATTAGCCAGGCATGGTAGTGCGTGCCTGTAATCCCAGCTATTTGGGAGGCTGAGGCAGGAGAATGGCTTGAACCCAGGAGGCAGAGGTTTGCAGTGAGCAGAGATCATGTGAGACTCTGTCTGAAAAAAAATAATAATAATGTGGATAGAGATCATTAATAAAGAAATAGCAGAGTTAAATGGCAAAGAAAAGGTAGTGGAATGGCAAAGTGCCACATGTTCCTTCCACCTTGCATATATAAATGAATAAAATTAACACATCATTTAAATCTGCTTTGTACATTGAAAATCAGTGTACTGATAAAATAGTAGAAAATGTAAGCCACATGCATCTTTTTCCTTTCAGCTTGATGTGACTGTGCCTTGTTACTCTGAGATACAGATTAGAGCTTCATTTGTAAGACCTGAAATTATATTTAGAGATTATTTTTTCTGAGTTATTGAAAGCTTTTATATATTTTCATGGACCTCAAATATTTTAGAGACCGTTCTCTTAATCTTAGATACATATTAGAAAAAACAAATCTAAGTCCTTTCAAACCTCTTTTTAAAAATCTAAAACTTGGTAAAAATGAATAAGTTGCAATAATACACATGAATTCTGATAATATTAAACCTAACCTACTTGTAAATGTTTATGCAATTTTATATCTTTGCCTACCTTTCTACCCTTCAACTCCTCTGCCCCCCAACCTCAGCCCTGTTGACATTTTGAACTCGATAATTCTTTGCTGTGAGAGCTGTCCTGTGCATTACAGGATATTTAGCAGCATCCCTGGCCTTCACCCACTAGGTGCTGGTAACAGACCTATACTCCTAGTTGTGGCAATCAAAAATATCTCTAGAGATTGCCATGTATACGTACCTTGCAGGCAAAGGGCAGGCACCCTTAGCTGAGAAACACTTCTTTAGAGAGGAAAAAAAATTATACCTTCCTTGCAGTATAGATTTAACTGTGTAATATCTCCAAGGACATGTTTTTCTAAAGTTTTTGTTCAGATTTGGAAGACTTTATGCCTCTCATAATTAGTAAAACTTTTAGTGTAGGGGCAGCATTGATTTTATAAGTGTTTTACATTGAAATAAGGAACCAGTTAGTAATTTTTGATCTCTTCAGAATATAATCAAACCTATAATACTGTGCCGAGGTCATGGTGTTGCTGTAATTGAAATCATCATAACAAAGTACTTAATGATAGTCAACGTTTATTAAACATCTGCGTGCTAAGCATTTTGCCAAGGACTTACTGGACAGTGGTACAAGATATTCTGCATGGCCTCTGTCTTTTGTAGCTTACGATCTGGTGAGGAGACTAATTAGACAACTAGACAAATCAATATGTATTATATCGTACCATTTCAGCTTCACAATATCCCTTTGAGTTGGTTGTTGTTGGTTACAGATGAGAGAGCTGAGGCTTAGAGAGTTAGGTGCCTACCTAAGATCACGTAGCCTAGTAAGTGCTAGAATTCCAGGTTTGAACTAAGGTGTGTCAAAACCAGAGTTCATAGTATTCATTAATTTATCCTGCTTTTGCTGTTTTCATTTATACTTGATTATACTCATTCTTGGCCTTTTAATTTCCTCCTGTCCCTCCTCCCCCACCAAAAAAAAGGGAAGGTAAGAGGTTCACCTGCCTTATATAGGTACTGAGCACCTACCATGCAGAATTCGTTCCTTAAACCATTATAGAAAAGAAATCCCCATCAGTATTTCCAAGGACATTGCTGTTTCTCCTTTTTCAGGTCTTAATATAGGCATTATTTCCTCCCAGAAGCCTTCCTGGTAGCACCTGTACAGCATTTGTGCAGAGAAGGGTTAGGTGCCTTTCGTGTATGCCTCCACAATGCCCTGTATCTGCTTTTTATTATAGCACTTATTAAATTATATTGTGAATTCTTTTTTGTTAATATTGCCACTGCAATTTTTTTGAGTAGTTAATACACCTCACAACATCACGCAGAGAATTAATGCCACATAATAGATATGTGGCATGTGTGTACACTATAGCAGCTTCTCTGCCCTCCCCCCATCCTGGTGTTGTCTTCTAACCCTCACAGGATAGTTGTACAGGGAAAACGTACAAAGTAATAATACAAGGTGGCAACCATAAAATTTCTGAATATTTGAACCGAAGATGGAGAGGAGTTTTACTTTTTGTTCTTCTTTCCCTCTTTCTAAAATTGATTTTTTGAGAACCAAGATATTTGTTACTTTATATAACCCTTAACAAATCTGAAATATTCCTCTTTGGGAACATCTAGTATACTATATATAACCTGGCTTGCTCATACACTTGGGTTAAAAACAGCTTCTTGAGAAGGAAAAAAGAAGCTATTGCATTAAATGTATACATGAAAATATAGATATGATTTTCAGAAACACTCAGATATGAACATATATATATGTCAGAGTAGGGAACACATTAATTAAAACTTTGTTATTTTTACTTTGGGATGTTTAAAACTTGTTACAAAGTGTGAACTCAGGAATATGCTGCCTTTTTGAGTTTTGGCAGTTTAAAGCAGATAAAAACTTTTGAGAAGAAAAGACACTTTTTGCCATTATTGTGAAACAATATGATAGTACTTTCTGTGCTTAGACCTTCAAAACATGAAAAAGTAGAAAGTGCTCAGTTTAGGGAGTGAGGAACAGGGAGAGCAGTAGTGGATCTCAAAATTCATTGAATGCACTTAGGCCAAGTAAAGTGTTTCTCCATACCCCTAATTTTCTACTGTCAGTACTGAATGTCACTAACATTAGTACTATCCAAGCTATCAGTATTTGTGATTTTTTTTCCCCCTTCCAGAGCTTAATTGGTGTCCTCTTCAGAAACTTTAAAAACTAAGGTTGGGTGCGGTGGCTCACTCCTGTAATCGTAGCACTTTGGGAGGCCAAAGCAGGTGGATCACCTGAGGTCAGGAGTTCAAGACCAGCCTGGCCAACATGGTACAACACTGTCTCTACTAAAAATACAGAAATTAGCTGAGTGTGGTGGTGCATGCCTGTAATCCTAGCTACTCAGGAGGCTGAGGTAGGAGAATCGCTTGAACCTGGGAAGCAGAGGTTGCAGTGAGCTGAAATCGTGCCATTGCACTCTAGCCTGGGCGACAGAGCAAGACTGTCTAAAAAAAAAAAAAAACTAAAAGACTATTTGGAATAAGACAAGCTTCTCTGACCTTCTTTGGTTCATTGATTTGGTATAATAGTTCATTGGTATAATAGTTCATTTGGTATAATAGTTCATTTGGTATAATAGTTCATTGATTTGGTATAATAAATTATATATAGGTTTGTTTGTTTGTTTTTAATGTTACCAAACAAAGAAAAATCCAAGGCTGTCAGAAACTAAAGGATAGGACTTCAGGAGGCTGAGGCAGGGGAATCGCTTGAACCCTGGAGGCAGAGGTTTCAGTGAGCCCAGATCATGCCACTGCACTCCAGCCTGGTGACAGAGCAAGACTCCATCTCAAAAAAAAAAAAAACAAAACTAAGGGATGAGGGGTTTCAGAGACAGTTTCATACAAAGGTCAAATAAATAACCAGCTTTTTTTTTTTTTTTTTGGTGGGGGGATGGTCTCACTGTGTTACTCAGGCTGGAGTGCAGTGGCACAGTCTTGGCTCACTGCAACCTACTGCCTCCTGGGTTCAAGCAATTCTCATGCCTCAGCCTCCTGAGTGGCTGGGATTATAGGCGCACCACCACATCTGGCTAATTTTTATATTTTTAGTAGAGACGGGGTTTCACCACATTGGCCAGGCTCGTCTCAAACTCCTGACCTCAGAAGTTCCACCTGCCTTGGCCTCCCAAAGTCCTGGGAGGATTACAGGTGTGAGCCACTGCGCCTGGCCAATAACCAGCTTTTTGAAAGGAATTCTTAGGCAGACTTACAGAGTATCATCCAGAACCAAATTTCTGAAAATGTTTTATGTTCTGTAACATTTGAAAATATTTGAATGTGCTTGTTATTTGGTAATCTAGTTGAATGTAGTGACTGTGCTGTCACCTTTTCTTCCCCAATTGCATGAATCCATTGACAAAAGGATCTGTTTTATTTCTCAGAAACAACAGATTTTTTCCAGTTTATTTGGTAAGAAGTGTAACCAAAAAGCACTTTCCGATTCAGATGCCCTAATTGTTCCAAGTTGCTTCATAGAGTTTTATAATAATATTCAGAGGACAGCTTCTGTCTTAATCAGGGTATAATTCAGCCTCCATGAAACCCTTCCTGTCTTTCCAGGTATAGTCAACCCTTTCTCTGTACTTTTACTGCTGTTAGCCTAAGTTGCTCTTCTATAATATGTTTTTCGCTATCTCATATCGTGGTGTATAATGGTAACTTATTAATCCAGTAGTCTGTTTTCAGTAGCTTATAAAGAGTCTTGACGGCTGGGAACATGTTTATTCGTTGTTTCTAGTTTATAGCATGCTGATTCTCTGTGATGAGTTTGCTTAGAACCTATTAAATTTAAGAGGTACTGATTATTCCAGGTGGGATTGTTCTGCAGTAAGTTAGCTATAGGGAGCTAGGGCTTAGAGAAAGCTTAAGGCTGGGAATATAAATTTTGTAATTGGACACATAAGTTTTACTTTTTACATTTTCCTCTTCCTGGTTCTTGTTTTTTCTGAACCAGTTGTACAGAAAGAGGACCTAAAGTTAATGGCGGGCTCTTCCTGCAGTTCCTTCTTCCTCCAGCTAGAGCCTCAGGTGCCCATAGATAGACAGCTCTGAGTACACGAGAGTAAAAGGGAAGCACCATGTCCTATTCACTTTACCATTCCATAGCATCCTTCTTTCTCTCTTAGGGTCCTGTTCTTTTGGCTTTTTGTTTTGTTTTTTACTCTGTGTGTGTGTGTGTGTGTGTGTGTGTGTGTGTGTGTGTGTGTAGATATATCTATATATATATCACAAAATTTGCCATTTTAGCCAGGGTTTTTTTTTGTTTTTTTTTTTTGGTTTTTTGTTTGTTTTTTGTTGTTGTTTTGAGGTGCAGTCTCGCTCTTTTGCCCAGGCTGGAGTGCAGTGGTGCGATCTCGGCTCACTGCAAGCTCCGCCTCCTGTGTTCACACCATTCTCCTGCCTCAGCCTCCCGAGTAGCTGGGACTACAGGCGCCCGCCACCACGCCTGGCTAATTTTTTGTATTTTTAGTAGAGATGGGGTTTCACCATGTTAGCCAGGATGGTCTTGATCTGCTGACCTCATGATCCGCCTGCCTTGGCCTCCCAAGTGCTGGATTACAGGCATGAGCCACCGCGCCTGGCCAGCTGTTTTTAACTATACAATTCATTGGCATACATCACAATGTTGGCCAAACATCACTACTGTTCATCTCTAGAACTTTTTTCATTTCCCTCAACTGAAACTTGATACCCATTAAACAATAACTCCTTATTCCCCTCTACCCCAGCCCTTGGTAACCGCCAATCTACTTTCTATTTTATGGATTGCCTATTCTAGATGTTTCATATGAATAGAATCATGCAGTATTTGTCCTTTTGTGCCTGGAGGCCTGAAAACACTCACTTAACTTAGTGTTTTCAGGGTTCATCGAGGTCATAGTGTATCAGAACTTCACGGATTTATAGCTGAATAATATTCCATTGTATGCGTATACCACATTTTATCCATCCTTATTGGCATGTTTTGTATTTAAAAAGCTTTCTTCCCCTCAACATAAAAATATATTGCCGGATGAGTGCAGTGGTTCACACTTGTAATCCTAGCACTTTGGGAGGCTGAGGTGGTCGCATCACGAGGTCAGGAGTTCATAACCAGCCTGGCCAACATGGTGAAACCCCATCTCTGCAAAAATACAAAAATTAGCCACGTGTGGTGGCGTGCGCCTGTAATCCCAGCTACTCAGGAGGCTAAGGCAGAAGAATCGTTTGAACCTGGGAGGCGGAGGTTGCAGTGAGCCAAGATCGTGCCATTGCACTCCAGCCTGAGCAACAGAGCAAGACTCTGTCTCAAAAAAAGAAAAAAATTGGCTGGGCGTGGTGGTGCACGCCTGTAATCCCAGCTACTCAGGAGGCTGAGGCAGGAGAATTGGCTGGGCATGGTGGTGCACACCTGTAATCCTAGCTACTCAGAAGGCTGAGGCAGGAGAATTGCCTGAACCTGGGAGGCAGAGGTTGCAGTGAGCTGAGGCCATGCCATTGCACTCCAACCTCGGCAACAAGAGTGAAACTCCGTCTCAAAAAAAAATATGTATCTGTATATCTATATAGATAATAGATATTGCCACTGTAGGAAATCAGGAATATAGAGAAAATGTCAAGAAGACAATATTCAACCATAATCCCTACCACCCAGAGAGAGCTACTATTAGTCTTGTATTTAATCTTTCCCATCTTTATGTACACTATATATATGCACTATATATATGCACTATATATATGCTACATACACACACACACACACACACACACACACACACACACATATGATTACAGCTAGATGTACAATTTAGAATTCTTTTTTTTGGCAGGTGCAATGACTCATGCCTGTAATTCCAACACTTTGAGAGGCTGAGGTGGAAGGATTGCTTGAGGCCAGGAGTTTGAGACCAGCCTAGGTAACATCGTGAGATGCTGTCTCTACAAAAAAAAAAAAAAAAAAAAAAAAAAAAGGCCAGGCTGGGTGGCTCAAGCCTGTAATCCCAGTACTTTGCGAGGCCAAGGCAGGTGGATCATGAGGTCAGGAGTTCAAGACCAGCTTGGCCGAGATGGTGAAACCCCGTCTCTACTAAAAATACAAAAATTAGCCGGGCGTGGTGGTGGGCGTCTGTAATCCCAGCTACTCAGGGGGCTGAGGCAGAGAATTGCTTGAACCCAGGAGGCGGAGGTTGCAGTGAACTGAGATCGTGTCACTGCACTGCAGCCTGGGCAACAAAGCAAGACTCCATCTCAAAAAAAGAAAAAAATGTAATTCGCTGGGCATGATGGTGCATGCCTGTGATCCCAGCTACTCAGAGGGTGAGGCAGGAGGATACTTTGAGCCCAGGAGTTCTAGGCTGCAGTGAGCTGTGATCTCACCACTGCACTTCCAGCCTGGGTGACAGAGCAAGACCTTGTTTTTTTTTGTTTGTTTTGTTTGGTTTGGTTTTTTTTGTTTGTTTTTTGTTTTTTGAGATAGAGTCTCACTCTATGCCCAGGCTGGAGTGCAGTGGCACAGTCTTGGCTCACTGCAACCTCTGCTTCCCAGGTTCAAGCGATTCTCGTGCCTCAAACTCCCAAGTAGTAGCCGGGATTACAGGTGTGTGCCACCACAACCAGCTAATTTTTTTTTTTTTTGGAGGCAGTTTCACTCTTATTGCCTAGGCTGGAGTGCGGTGGGGCAATCTCGGCTCAACACAACCTTGGCCTCCCAGGTTCAAGCGATTCTCCTGCCTCAGCCTCCCGAGTAGCTGGGACTACAGGCATGCACCACCATGCCCGGCTAATTTTGTATTTTTAGTAGAGACGGGTTTCTCCATGTTGGTCAGGCTGGTCTTGAACTCCTGACCTCAGGTGATCCACCTGCCTCGGCCTCCCAAAGTGCTAGGATTACAGGTGTAAGCCACCACACCCAGCCCCATACCCAGCTAATTTTTGAATTTTTAGTAGAGATGGGTTTTCACTGTTTTGGCCAGGCTGGTCTTGAACTCCTGACCTCAGGTGATCCACCTGCCTCAGCTTCCCAAAGTGCTGAGATTACAGGCATGAGCCACTGCGTCCGGCTTGTTTTTGTTTTAAAAGAATCATTTTTACTTTTTTAATTTTTAAATTTTTTATTTTGAAACAAGGTCTCACTCTGTCACCCAGGCTGAGAGATTCCATCACCATGCCTGGCTACTTTTTAGAATTATTTGTAGAGATGAGGTCTCCCTATGTTGCCCAGGCTGGTCTTGAACTCTTGGCCTCAAGCAGTCCTCCCACCTCTGCCTCCCAAGGTGCTAGGATTACGGGCATGAGCCACCACACCCGGCCAATAATCATTTTTTAAAATAGCATTATATTATAAAAATTGTTTTATGTCATTAAAAAAACTCCTTTTAATCATGTGTAGGTATCTACATACATTCCAGTATATGGATATACTGTACTGTAATTTAACACTTTTTAATTATTTATTATACATTATAATGTTTTGATAATAAAAGAATCATGTGATGAACTTTTCTATATATAAATATATCTCTCTGGGCCGGGCGCGGTGGCTCACGCCTGTAATCCCAGCACTTTGGGAGGATCACGAGGTCTGGCCAACATGGTGAAACCCCATCTCTACAAAAATACAAAAATTAGCCGGGCGTGGTGGCACGCTCCTGTAGCCCCAGCTACTCTCAGGAGGCTGAGGCAAGAGAATTGCTTGAACCCAAGAGGCAGAGGTTGCAGTGGGCCGAGATCGCACCACTACACTACAGCCTGCTGGGCAACAGAGTGAGACTACGTCTAAAAAAAAAAAAAAACCATATATATAAAATAATAAATAAAATATATTTTAAAATATATATTATATATAAATTATAGTAATTATATATTATATGTAAATAAATATTTTATATATTTGTATATAATAAAATATATGTATATTTTTATATATATAAATCTGAGTTCTTTCAACTCTCTTGTTGCCCAGGCTGAAGTGCGGTGGCGCGATCTTGGCTAACTGCAACCCCCACCTCCTGGGTTCAAGTGATTATCCTGCCTCAGCCTCCTGAGTAGCTGGGATTACAGGCAGGCGCCACCACACCCAGCTAATTTTTTGTATTTTTAGTAGAGACGGGGTTTTATCATGTTGGCCAGGCTGGCCTTGAACTCCTGACCTCAGGTGATCCACCCGCCTCAGCCTCCCGAAGCGTAGGGATTACAGGAGTGAGCCACTGTGCTCGGCCTCTGTAGATTCTTGAAAGTGTAGTTACTGGCTGAAAGAGCCATGAACATTTTTAGAACTCTTCATGCATTTTGTCAAATTGCTTTTCAGAAAGAATATGCCAGTTCACACTACCTGCAGCATATATAAAGAGAATTCCTAGCTGGGCACGGGAATTCTTTTTTGTACTTTTAGTGGTGGCGTATGCCTGTAATCCCAACTACTTGGGAGGCTGAGGTGGGAGAATTGCTTGAACCCAGGAGGTGCAGGTTGCGTTGAGCAGAGATAGCACCACTGCATTCCAGCCTGGGTGACAGAGCGAGACTCAGTCTCAAAAAAAAGAAAGAAAAAGGCTGGGCGCAGTGGCTCACACCTGTAATCCGAGCACTTTGGGAGGCTGAGGCGGGCAGATCACGATGTCAGGAGTTCGAGACTAGCCTGACCAATATGGTGAAACCCCATCTCTACTAAAAATACAAAAATTAGCTAGGCGTGGTGGTGGCGCGTGACTCTAATCCCAGATACTCAGGAGGCTGAGGCAGGAGAATCGCTTGAACCCGTGAGGCGGAGGTCGCAGTGAGCCGGAGGTTGCAGTGAGCCGAGATCGCACCACTGCACTCCAGCCTGGGTGACAGAGCGAGATTCTGTCTCAAAAAAAAAAAAAAAAATTCCTGTCTTGTCAGACTTGTCACCAGAGAATAAGACAAAGTGATCCCAGCATATGTTATAGACTAATGATAGCGTAAGCTTTAGCTTAATAATAGCCATTAGAAATAAGCAGATGCTGAGCTAGAATTGAATGTGAAGGATACTGACTGATTTATAAGAGCGTGTGCAAAGCCCATTATCCTCAAAATCTCACATTCTTCAGTCTCACAACACCCCAGACGCTTATGTGCCTTATTCTTAAGAAGTCTGTTGTTTTACCCTATTAAGCTGTAAGAAGAGGCTAGGTGTGGTGACTTGTGTTTGTAATCCCAGCACTTTGGGAAGCCAAGGCAGGAGGATCACTTAGGGCCGAGAGTTCAAGACCAGCTTGAGTAAAATGACACCGTGTCTCTAAAGAAAATAAAAAATTAGCCAGGCATGGTGGCACATGCCTGTAGTCCTACCAACCTAGGAGGCTGAGGCAGAAGGATCCCTTGAGCCCAGGAGTTTGAGGCTGCAGTGAGCTGCTATTATCAAGCCACTGTACTCCAGCCTGGGAGACAGAATGAGACCCTGTCTCTTAAAAGGTATAGGAAGAAGTCAGTAAAAGATGAATTTTCTGGTAAACATTTAAGTGCCATTACATGTAGGATGGAGTAGGCAACTGCTGGCTGGGCGCGGTAGCTCCTACCTGTAATCACAACACTTTGGGAGTCCAAGGTGGGTGGGTCACCTGAGGTCAGGAGTTTGAGACCAGCCTGGCCAACATGGCGAAACCCCATCTGTACTAAAAATATAAAAATTAGCTGGGCGTGGTGTCACATGCCTGTAATCCCAGCTACTTGGGAGGATGAGGCAGTGGAATCACTTGAACTCGGGAAGCAGATGTTGCAGTGAGCAGAGGTTGAAGTGAGCCGAGATTGCGCCATTGCACTCTAACTTGGGTGACAGAGCGAGACTCCATCTCAAAAAGAAAAAAAGAGACAACTGCTAATTCTCTTTTATCATTCTCAGTTGGATTCAAAAAAAGTCACAAAGAAGAATTCAAGCCTCCATGAACTGAGAGGGCAGTTATTAGCAAGAGCTATGGAGTCAAATATAATTTTGTGAGCCTCCTCTAGCCACAAAAATGTACTGCAGTATAGGAACAAAGTGAGCATCAAATTTACCAGGTAGGAGGCTACTATGACTAACTTACATACCCTATGCAGAGCCCAGCAAAGGTAGGGATTGTTAAGGTGTTTGATAGCAGCATAAAAGGGCCACCCAGCAGTTGCCAAAGAGTGACTTAAAATGCCCCTAATTCTGGAGGGTAGGTTGGGCTGATTCTGAAAGGTCAAAACTATAGGAAAAGTCAGGCTAAAGATACAGCCCAGGAGATTCTGGGCATCTTCGTTGGAGGCACTGCTGGTGCTATATTTAAACCTTAATGTGACCCATCATCTAGCATTTGGGGAGTTGGTCTGACAATATCCTTTTTTTTCCTTTTTTAAGACAGGGTCTCGCTCTGTCACCCAGGTTGGAATGCAGTGGTGTGATCACAGCCTCGACCTCCTAGGCTCAGCAATCCTCCCACCTCAGCCTCCTGAGTAGCTAAGACTATAGACATGTACCACCATGCCACCTGGATTGCTTTTGCTTTTTTTTTTTTTTGGTAGTGATGGGGTTCTCGCTGTGTTGTCCAGGCATCTTGAACTCCTGGATTTAAGCGCGCCTCCTGCCTCAGTTTCCCTAAGTGCTGGGATTACAGACATGAGCCACCATGCCCAGCCATGATTTTAGAATAAATTGTATAGGAGGTATCCATTCATTCATTCAGCAGATTTGAGTGATTATTATGTACTAGATATTGGGGGAAATACTATGTCGAATAAGGCATGGTCTCTGATCTTAAGAAATTAACCTTCTAGTATGGTCAGTGATTTACAAATGCAATTATACTACAAGACAATTCTGTATAATAGCAGTAAGTGCATAAACCACCTTAAGTTTTCACAGAGAAAGAAGCATCTTACCTCAATCTTGGATAAATGGGAATGTGCAAGATGGAGAAGTAGGAAATGGTTCTTCTAAACAGTGAAAACAGCATATATAAATACACTAGGAATGAGAGGACAAAGTTTACTGCTAACTACTATACACATCAGTATTAAAGCAAAAAATGAGAGCAAGGGCATTCTGTGGTTTGGACTGGGGTCTCAAAATGCCTCTTTCTCCTTAGCTCAAGTGGCATCCTTTACCTTCAGCTATCTTTAGGGAAAAAAAAACAAATTTTGACCTAAAGGGGATGTTTGGTTGAAAAAGAGACCTCAGTGCTGGTATAGTTGCTAATTTAATAGTCCTTTTTATTTGGCTGCTCCTTGTTCTTATATTGTACATATATTATATGGCTTACTCAAACCACACAGTATAAAATCACTGAAAGAAGTGAAGTCTCGATATTAAATGCATATAATTTGCTTTATGACTTTAACAAGTTCCTTATCCCTTCTTTTACCCAAAATGGTAGGAGAGGTGTCTAACTGGTCTTGTTCAGCCAAACAATTCATCGTTTGATAGTTTATAATAGCTCGTGCCCAGAAGCTTTATATAACCATGTCATTTGCTCAGAAGGAAGGAATGTTAGAAATAAAATAATTTGAATTAGTCGGGCATGGTGGCACACACCTGTAATCCCAGCTACTTGGGAGGCTGAGGCAGGAGAATCGCTTGAATCCGAGAGGAGGAGTTGCAGTGAGCAGAGGTCACATCACTGCACTCCAGCCTGGGCAACAAAGTGAGACTCCATCTCAAAAAAAAAAAAAAAAGAAAGAAAATATTCTAGCTGTTTTACCTTCTAGTATTTCTCTATATTCTAAAATTAACTAAACTCTCCATCCCTTTCTGGACCTTTCTATTCCTGAAGCTGCATCTTTTAGACCACTCCATTTAAAACAGCCATGAATAAATTTATTTATGTTTCACAATCTGAGATGGAATTCATCTTGCTTTTCACACTAAACTCAAGCATATTTCAAACTAGAAAGACCTATATATCAGGGTGTAAAATATAACAACATTTAGCCTTCAGAAGAGAAACTTGAACATAAGAAAAAACTCCATGAGTTTGTTTATTGTTTTTGGCTCCATGTTAGCCTCTTGTTTTGTAGCCAATAAGATACATTTTATCTATATACCTGTGTTGTTTTTCTTTTGTGTTCTCGATTTGGCCTATATCCTGAAATAAATCATTCTCTGACAAGCTCTCATGAGGCCATGGAATTTTCTTTTTCTTTTCTTTTCTTTTTTTTTTTTTTTTTGAGACAGGGTCTCGCTCTGTCGCCCAGGCTAGAGTGCAATGGCATGATCTGAGCTCACTGCAACCTCTTCCTCCCGGGTTCAAGCGATTCTCCTGCCTCAGCCTCCCAAGTAGCTGGGATTACAGGCACCCACCACCACACCCAGATGATTTTTGTATTTTTAGTAGAGATGGGGTTTCACTATGTTAGCCAGACTGGTTGTGAACTCCTGATCTCAGGTGATCCACCCGCCTCAGCCTCCCAAAGTGCTGGAATTACAGGCATGAGCACCCAGCTGAATTGAATTTTTGTAGGCAAATAAGCGTTTTAAGTATGAGAATGATTTAGTAGGAAGGAAACAAGAACAAGTTGGGAAACCCAGGTTAAAGTCCTCGGTTTGCACTTAACAAGCTATTTGTCCTTGGGTATGTTGCTAACAAAGAGCTTTTGTCTTCAGTGTTTATTTCTTTAACATAAAGGATTTGAACTGGAAGACTTCTAAGTTCAACAAATATATAGCCTGAATTTTTTGAACAATATTGATTTCAGATTTCTTGTGACTTTAATGTCTGTAAATAAAAAAAAAGTCTCAGATTCCAATATTTGAGACTCTGCACCCAGAAGCATTTTAGAAATCTTTGGTTTTTTGGGTTTTTTTTTTTTTTTTTTTTTTTTTTTTTTTTGAGACGGAGTCTGACTCTGTTGCCCAGGCCAGAGTGCAATGGTGCGATTTCGGCTTACTGCAACCTATGTCTCCCAGGTTCAAGCAATTCTCCTGCCTCAGCCTCCTGAGTAGCTGGGGTTATAGGTGCCTGCCACCATGTCTGTCTAATTTTTGTATTTTTAGTAGAGACAGTGTTTCACCATGCTGGCCAGACTGGTCTCGAACTCCTGATCTCAGGCAGTCCACCAGCCTCGGCCTCCCAGAGTGCTGGGATAACAGGCGTGAGCCACTGCGCTCGGCCTTCTTTTTTTTTTTTTTTTTTTTTTCTGAGAAAGTCTCACTCGGTAGCCAGGCTGGAATGCAGTGGCACAATCTCAGCTCACTGCAACCTCTGACTCCCTGGTTCAAGTGATTCTCCTGTCTCAGCCTCCCAAGTAGCTGGGATTACAGGCACATGCCACCACACCCAGCTAATTTTTGTATTTTTAGTAGAGAAAGGGTTTCACCATGTTGGCCAGGATGGTCTCTATTTCCTGACCTCGTGATCCACCCGCCTCAGCCTCCCAAAGTGTTGGGATTACAGGCCTGAGCCACCGCGCCTGCCCTATTCTTTTATTTTTTTGAGAAAGAGCTTCACTCTTGTCGCCCAGGCTGGAGTGAAGTGGTGCGATCTCACCTTACTGCAACCTCCGACTCCTGGGTTCAAGCCACTTCTGCCTCAGCCTCCGAGTAGCTGGGATTACAGGCACCCACCACCATGCCTGGCTATTTTTGTATTTTTAGTAGAGATGGGGTTTCACCATGTTGGCCAAGCTGATTCTGAACTCTTGATCTGCCCACCTTGGCCTCCCAAAGTGCTAGGATTACAAGTGTGAGCCACCGCACCTGGCCTGAAATCCTCTTTTAAACCACGTGATTTGGTCTTGATTTGAAAAATATAGTCCTACCATATCTTTTGTTCTTTTCCCATTCTAAAATTATGTGATTCTAGGCTAAATGCAGAGCAACATCCCATTTCACATCCACTGTCATCCTTCTCGAGCCCAGATTTCACCCACTTTAACATTTAACTTTTTAACAAAACTGTAATTATCTTCAAAACTATATAATTTATCTTTTCTGAAGTTAACATAACTCACAGTGCTGTGTTTTTAGAACAGCTGGGTTGAATGCTTGTGTGTGATATAATTAATAGAACCCTAAGTGTAATAGTGAGAGAGGGAAGGGTATAGAATTTAAATAGTGATTTTTGTCAGAAAAACCTGGGGAAATTATTTGTGGGTTTAGTTACAATTTTCCAGGGATTTGCCTTTATTTTCTCTGTGTTCCAGGTCTTGCCTGAAATTTAGAAGCCCCTTTCTTGCCCTTCCTTTCTGGTGCTATCAATGGTGGTAATCACCTCTGAGGAAGAAAAGCCCTCTTCCCACTGTCCATGGAGAACACTCAGCATCTATGCTTGATTTTGACAGGGCAGATTTTGGATGAATCATGAAATGCTTCTAAAGTAGCCAAGAGTTAACTCTTCCTAACCTTTTTATATAGTAAGCATGTTACCCCACAAGGTAACTTACCCAGGGGAATCAACTACATAGTGGAATCACGTTATTCACACATTTAACTTACACAAATTCAACTCTACTGAAAAAAACATGAAGTACATGAGTGAGAGAGAAAAATAACAATCTTAAGTAGCACATGTTAAACCTTCCATTTCAGTAAGTCCCAGGCAATGGATGAAATCAAATCTGAAATAGTTCATATTGGTGAAAGTTATGGAAAGAATGTGAGGATGATTTTTAAAGGTTTCCTAGTTGATAAAGCATGTTCAGGTCACTAGGTGAGTGGGTGGGACAATTTCTTTGACCTTTACAGGGGTTATTAAAGATTGTTGAGAAGCTACCCTTAAGAATTAGAGGAACTGGCTGGGTGTGGTGGCTCATGCCTGTAATCCTAGCACCATGAGAGGCTGAGGTGGGCAGATCACCTGAGGTCAGGAGTTCGAGACCAGCCTGGCCAACATGGTGAAACCCCATCTGTACTAAAAATACAAAAATTAGCTGGGCATAGTGGCATGTGCCTCTCATCTCAGCTACCAGGTTGGGAGGCTGAGGGAGGAGAATGGTTAGAACCTGGGAGGCAGAGGCTGCAGTGAACCGAGGTCATGCCACTGCACTCTAGCCTGGATGACACAGCGAGATTCTGTCTCAAAAAAAAAAAAAAAATTAGAAGAACTAGCAAAATCCCTTACAAAGAATGGCATGATTAGAACAAGTTGAAATTTTTATAAATGTACTAAGTGCTTGAAGGAATGAAACACCTGGTTACGTTTCTGAGTGTTCTTTATGGATTTTTAGTGGTTGTTTTTACCATATACTATTTCCCCTTTGTAACCAGTCCCCTAAGTAAGATGCTACCCTGCCAAGTGGAAATTGCACTGATTTTGTTTGACAGTATAAATTGAGTAAGATAATGAGTAATTTCATTAAGAAGCTGGTTTTTGGCTGATACTTCCATTTTTTAAAAAAACATGGTCATGTACTTCCTTCTCTTAGAAGTCTTTGAATTTAAAATCTAGATTCTATAATGAATTGAATATTTCTTGTCCATCCTAGTAATTTGTGCCATCTACACCATTTTACTTTATTACTATGATCTTTTTCCACGAATGTCCGTTGCTTGGCCAGTTACTACCTTGGGATTACATAACTACCAAGTAAAGAACCATAATTGGCTGAATTGCTTTTTAAAAATATATTGTTTTAGTGTACCTAGCATGTGAAGTACATTTTTCTTCTGTGATCATACAGGTGAACATGATTAAAGATGATGGGACAGTTATTCATTTCAACAATCCCAAAGTCCAAGCTTCCCTTTCTGCTAATACCTTTGCAATTACTGGTCATGCAGAAGCCAAACCAATCACAGAAATGCTTCCTGGAATATTAAGTCAGCTTGGTGCTGACAGTTTAACAAGCCTTAGGAAGTTAGCTGAACAGTTCCCACGGCAAGGTAGGTATTTCAATTTAGTAAATCTTTCTCTCCCCACCTTACTTAAAGAACCTAATCATTTAAAAGGTGTCCCATCTTAATTTGGATTTGCCTGTATGTAATTATTTTACTTTCTATAAAGTTATTTCTATGCTTCATAAAATTTTGAGTTTGTTTAATGATTATGTAGTGTGACATATAGAATATTCAGAAACATGGCTGGGCGTGGTGGCTCATGCCTGTATTCTCAGCACTTTGGGAGGCCGAGACGGGCAGATTGCCTGAGGTCAGGAGTTCGAGACCAGCCTGACCGACATGGTGAAACCTCGTCTGTACTAAAAATACAAAAATTAGCCAGGCATGGTAGCAGGCGCCTATAATCCCAGCTACTCGGGAGGCTGAGGCAGGAGAATTGCTTGAACCCGGGAGGCAGAGGTTGCAGTGAGCTGAGATCATGCCATTGCACTCTAGCCTGGGCAACAAGAGGGAAACTCCGTCTCAAAAAAAAAAAAAAAGAATATTCGGAAACATTTTGGTAGTAATAATAGTAAGTTGAGAAGTAATTACCTAAAAGGGTAGTGCCCAGATCTTCAGGCCATAATTTTATTTTATTTTATTTCATTTTATTTATTTTTGAGACATAAAGTCTTGCTCTGTCTCCCAGGCTGAAGTGCAGTGGTGCGATCTCAGGTCACAACAACCTCCACCTTGTGGATTCAAGCAATTTTCATGCCTCAGCCTCCCGAGTAGCAGGGACTACAGGTGGTGTGCACCACTGCACCCAGTTAATTTTTGTATTTTTAGTATACACAGGGTTTCGCCATGGTGGCCAGGCTGGTCTTGAGCTCCTGGCCTCAAGTGATCCACCTACCTACCGCCTCCCAATGTGCTAGGATTACAGGCGTGAGCTACCATGCTTGGCCCATCATTTTAAATAGTTAATTTGATATTCACTGCTAATTAATGACAATCAGAAAATACTGTTATATGGCTGGGCGCAGTGGCTCACTCCTGTAATACCAGCACTTTGTGATGCTGAGGAGGGAGTATTTCTTGAGGCCAGGAGCTCAAGACCAGCCTGGGCAACATGGTGAGACCCTATCTGTACAAAAAATACAAAAATTAGCCAGGTGTGATAGCACGTGCCTGTAGTCATAGCTACTCAGGAGGCTGATGCAGGAGGATCACTTGAGCCCAGGACTTCAAGTCTGCAGTGAGCTATGGAAAGCCACTGTACTTCAACCTGGGTGACAGAGGGGGGAGACCCTGTCTCTAAAAAAAAAAAAAGAAAAAAGAAAATAATGTTGTCAGACATCTATGTTTTTGTTAAATATTGATTGCCCTATAAATGTGGCAACCGTAAGTTCTGAATTTCCAAGATAGTCCTGGTTTCAAATGTGTCATGTTGCCCCTAAAAATGAAAAAATCTAGTATTGTAGTGCCCATACTACCTAGCTAGATACTTTCTTACACCAAAAGAAATGAAAAAAATCTTTTTTTTTTTTTTTTTTTTTTTTTGAGACAGAGTCTTGCTCTGTTGCCCAGGCTGGAGTGCAGTGGCATGATCTTGGCTCACTGCAACCTCCACCTGCCGGGTACAAGCAATTATCTGCCTCAGCCTCCCAAGTTAGCTGGGATTACAGGCGCCCGCCACTGCGCCTGGCTAATTTTTATATTTTTAGTAGAGACAGGGTTTCACCGTCTTGGCCCGGCTGGTCTTAAACTCCTGACCTCGTGATCCACCTGCCTCAGCCTCCCAAAGTGCTGGGATTACAAGCATGAGCCACTGTGCCCAGCTTTGTTGTTGTTGTTGTTGTTGTTGTTGCTTGGTTTTTTTTGTTTGTTTGTTTTTTTGTTTTGTTTTTTTTTTGAGACAGAGTCTGACTCTGTCGCCCAGGATGGAGTGCAGTGGATTACAGGTGTGAACCACCATACCTGGCTGAAAAAAACCTTAATATTAATTTTTTATTTGGAGAATATGGCCACTGTAAAGTCTTTTTACTCAGTGATCAGTTATTCCACTTTGCATATAAATTTTATCTTTGTAGGCCGTGTGTGGTGGCTTATGTCGGTAATCCCAGCACTTTGGGAGGCCAAGGCAGGTGGATCCCTTGAGGTCAGGAGTTCGAGACCAGCCTGGCCAACATGGTGAAACCCCATCTCTACTAAAAATACAAAAATTAGCTGGGTATGGTGGTGTTTGCCTGTAATCTCAGCTACTTGGGAGGCAGGGAGAATTGCTTGAACTTGGGAGGTGGAGACTGTAGTGAGCCAAGATCGCATCACTACACTCCAGCCTGGTCAACAGAGTGAGACCCTGTCTCAAAAAATGAATAAATAAAAATAAATAAAATAAATTTCATCTTTGTCACACATGGAAATTGCCAGCTGTGTTATCAGTGTATTAACTGATTAAAGTTTTATTTTTAATGTTACTCAAGCAAAAAATATGAATGGCATTTTAGATTGACAATATTTAGCTATTTCTGAGCAACTCTGTGTGATTTATACAGGAAAAAAGGGATAAACATTATAAGTTTTCTTTAAGGTCTTTGTTCTCAATGACTAATATTAAAATAAACTTTTTGTAGTCTTGGACAGTAAAGCACCAAAACCAGAAGACATTGATGAGGAAGATGATGATGTTCCAGGTAAGTGACATTTCCTTAGACTTAAGATTTTAAGCATCCTGTTTATCTCCTTTCAGTCATTGCATAGATAACTTTTAGGTTTGTGTTGATTGTAAGCTCATGAATTTAAATTGATTCACAATAATGTGGATAGGATCTAATGAAAAACAACGTAAGCACCCACCTTAGAACCTAGAATCAGAAATTGTCACACAAAGCTCTGCTGCCTGGATTTATTAAATTGAAATCACTGTGATTATAAATTTGCATAGCTATTGTTATAACATTTCTGTATGAATTATAATTGACATATGAAAATGCTATTCACCTCAGTAATTTGCATAGACAAAAGATGAACATTTCCTTAGGATTACTGTCCTAAGCAAATAATTAAATCATTGTTAGTAAAATGCCACCAGTTCATTTCTGCCTCCTTATGTTTTCAGGCTAATTCTGGTTGTACTAATTTTATTTTTTCGGGGGTTAGAAGTTAGGAGTTCCATTTACCTCTTTTTCCTTTTTTGTATTCTTTGATTCATATACTTTGTTTTTCTTTTTCAGATCTTGTAGAAAATTTTGATGAGGCATCAAAGAATGAAGCTAACTAAAAGTTTGGTTTTTGGAAGCTGGCATGGACTAGATTTAACAAATCAGCTATGTGGTTCCAAAGTTTTACAGACATGGAGAACATCACCTGTTACTAGTTCAGTAATATAAATATTTTGTATATTAATAATGCTGTTTGTTCAGCATTTTTCGGTCATTTGATTTTGCATTTTGCACTTCCTCCCAGGATATTTTTTTGGTCAAAATATGAAGTATTGGTGCAGTTTGAGGGTGTTTTGGTTTTTGATTCCTGGTTTTTTTGTTTTTTGTTTGGGGTATTTTTGGTGTATGTATGTTTATGTATGTGTGTGGGTATGTGTGTATACAGTGGAGAGCAAATTGGAAAACAGTTCTATTTATCCTCCTCCCTCCCCAGTAGAAATAAAAAAAATCTTTACATTTGTTACTTTTCTTTTCCCCCCGTAAGACACAGAATTAATGGAAAGTGAGTATCTTGGATTTCAAATCTGAAGAGATTTTTACCATTAGTGGTTTGATTTTAATTTGCTTGGTTAACTATCATATTTTTCATACACTTCTCTGGATTTAAAATATCTTGAGGTATTTTGCCACTGGCTTCATGCTGGAGTAATGGGTAACATATCTTTGGTATGGTTGCCTTAGATTAACTTACCTAGTCAGACCCAGAAGAACTTCTTTTACTAGCTTGCTTCCTAAATGCCTTTTTTCCTCTCCTTTTGGTCTCCAAATGGCCTGGTCAGCTTTTGGTAATATTCTTCCTCATCTTCCACCTAGCTTGAGAAGGATGTTCTCCATATAGAGTTTAGCGAGTGCCTAATCCCTCCTTTTGTAAGATTTTGTTCCCTCAGCTTGAGGAACAACTTCATCTTCAACTTTTTATTTCTCCCTGATGTTACAGTTTGGTAGATTTCAAACTGGAATAGCTAGCATGTGCTTGCTAAATAATTTTATGCCAGCCTTATCCTGTATCCTAGCTGTTCTTAACAGCAGGTACAAAAATGCCTGTTTTTCAGCAAGGTTGAAATTGGGAATGTCCTTTTGAATCAGAAGAAAATAGGCCATAGACTCATCTCCCAGCACAAATGGGCATTCTATGAAATGGTACTGGCCCTAGGAGGATTTCCTCAACCACTCTCCTACTCTTGGCCTTGAACCTACCTCTGGGTTGGATCTTACTATTGTAGCTGCTCACTATACCCTCCTGCATGCTTAGAATAATGCTTTGAGGGGAGCACTGGTAAAACACAGTATTTATTTTTTTACCTCCTTTAAGAGGACTTGGAGGTAAGTTGCATTCATTCACTCAAGTTTCCCTCTTGCTGTCTAATAGAAGCTTACTTTTTGCTATATCAGCATTTGTTACAGCCAATATTTAAGGACAAAATTTAGAAAATATATCATTTCCTGGCCCATCATCAAACTAATACAGCTTAACCTTGCAGCTACCAACTTTTGTGTCAAGCTAGATATCTTTATTTGATATCTAAGGTGCAAGACCAACAATATATTAAGAGATCTGTAGACATGAAGGCAAAGCTCTTGTATTTTTTTTCATCCAAACACCTCAATTTATTTTATAAATTCGTTCATTTTTCCTGTTATGTTTTATATAATATATGGACTAAACAAAATAAAATAACAGTGCAAAAGAGGAGAATATTTCCTCTTGTGCTTTTCTTGATGTTGTGTACAGAATTTCCTTTTATATTATTCCTCTACCCTCCACCTGTAAATGAATGTTAGTGCAGTAATTGTTTGAAATAATGCCTCATCCAGTGTTAGGTCAGTAGCTCCACAGTCTACACAGTCCAGAATTCTTTCTCTAATTGTCCCAAAGGGGGACATTGTGGAGGCAGAGTTAGGGGGAACCACTTCAAGTGGTTAGGGACAGATAAATAATAGGCAGTATAGCACATGAAAGAAAACACACACTTGGAAGCCAGGAGACTTGTGTCCTAGTCAAAACTCTGGCATTATGTGACCTTGGACAGGTCATCTAACTACTCTGAAATTTATCATCAGTCAAATAAGATTTTATTCTGTTTTGTTTTGTTTGAGATGGGGATTTGCTCTTGTTGTCCAGGCCGAACTGCAATGTTGTGGTCTCGGCTGACTGCAACCTCCACCTCCCAGATTCAAGCGATTCTCCTGTCTCAGCCTCCACAGTAGCTGGGATTTTTTTTTTTTTTTTTTGTATTTTTAGTAGAGATGGGGTTTTACCATGTTGCCCAGGCCGGTCTTGAATTCCTGTCCTCAGGTGATTCATTTGCCTCGGCCTCCCAAAGTGCTAGGATTACAGGCGTGAGCCACTGCACCCAGCCCAAATGAGATGTTTCTAAATCTAAAGTTTCTTCTGCTTCTGCATTTCTGTGAATCTCATTTGAAATTTTTCAGGGAAGGGATTTTATCATTTGTTCAGAGATGTCTTTATTTTTATTAATACCCATAAAACGTTTGTGTATTTGCTTCTTCCTCTTTCTCCTTTTGATCACATTTTAGCTACTTATCTAGAGGATCTCTGGCCAAGTATTCCCTTTTATTGTATTGATAACAATTCTTAATGGCTGGCCTCTCTTGTGTACAATGAGCCAATATTCTTTTTTGTTCTATATTTTTGTATCTTCCCCTTTCCTGAACAAAGCATATTTAGAGTCTCAAAGAAATCCTCTCCACAAAGACATGTTCCTCCCTCTGGTGTGGGTAGACATAGGGTAAGAGTTTGGATGAAACTTTTGTAAATTGTAGTGTTCTTGGCATAAATATGAATTAAATCTTTTTTTATATTTAAATAACTAGTTAAATATGTGCTTCTTACTAAGATTAGGTATTTTTTGCCAAGATAACAATGATAAAAACATTTTGGGGGGGAAATTGACCTTAAAATTTTGGGATAATTCAAGAAATGTCTGCAGAAAATTGATTTATGATCTTAATTTTTGTGTTAGTCCTTTGAGGTTTTTTTGTTTTTGTTTTTGTTCTTTGTAAAGCGCCTTATCTGTTTTGGACAAGTCCAAAGTAAATGGTTGGGCTCTTATATCTGTTTTACCCTTATTTTTCCCATTAAGTAATGGTTTAAGAATATATCAAGCACCTTAATTTGTTGTTAAGTAGCTAGTGCTTACAGGATTCCATTAAATTCACTTTAATAAGCCTATGAAGTTCTTATGAAAAACCCATATCTGCGATATGTTTGATTTGTTTCTTTGTTTTAATTCAGTGTTTAACCCTAGGTATGCTACATACCCATAAATAAGATACCATGGTAAGAGATAGTATGTTATAGTGGGAAAAGCACAAGTTTTTAGATAGAGATCAATTCTGCTATCTACCCTTACATTGTAACCTTTCTGACAGGGCTGCTGCGGTGCACAACTTCGGGAGCCATCACTTATTTTTGTTGTGTTCCAGAAGGTGTCATTTTCATAGACTGCAGTGTGAATAGTGTCCTCCATTAATAATGCAATGATGGCCTTGCTCTCTGAGCCTCAGTTTTATCTATAAAATGGTACCTAGAAGAGTCATGATTTCTTAGAATCCCCTAAATTATTAAGGTGAAGGTAGAAGATGATTAAAGCGTGTTATCTCCTAAGCTATGGCTTAGATTTTCCGAAGCTCATGGTTCTAGGCACAGAAAGTCTCCATTCTACACTGCATTTCAACCTGTGTTGAACAACACTCCAGTTCAGCCTGTATTGCTATGCCACATAGAGTTTGCCTGAATTATTATAGCTTTCTTAATAGTTTTGTTTATGATCCACTCTCTCCAGCCCATTACACAGGAGCCAGCTACCTAAATTTCCTATCTGAGCATGTCCTTACATTTACTTCCAGCATACTATTCATTTGCCATAGTAGAGTATTAAGATTATTTGATTTTCTTTTTACTTTCTCGTAGTGCCCAATGTGTAGTTTACTCAACATCATAATATGTAATGTTTTTCAACTACTTACTGTTGAATACAAAGTTATCTCATTTAATTCTCAGTCTGATGCGGCAGATATTATAATCCCTATCTTTTTTTTTTTTTTTTTTTTGAGACGGAGTCTCTATCACCCAGGCTGGAGTGCAGTGGCACAATCTTGGCTCACTGCAACCTCTTGAAGCGATTCTTCTGCCTCAGCCTCCCAAGTAGCTGGGATTACAGGTGCCCACCACCACACCTCGCTGTTTTTTTTTATTTTTAATTGACACGGGGTTTCACCATGTTGGCCAGGCTGGTCTTGAGCTCCTGACCTCAAAATGATCTGCCCACCTCAGCCTCCCAGAGTGCTGGGATTACAGACATGAGCCACTGTGCCCAGTCTATACCCTGTCTTAAAGAAGAACAAAAAAATGGTTTAGGGAAATTGGTAAAAGGCCAAACAACTAATTGGTGGGGAACCAAGATTCTAATCAAAAGCTATCAAATCCCAGGGTCTAAACTCATCACTGCATACCACTCAACAAATATTTATTGAAGTGAAAATTATGTTTACATAATTACAAATTATGTTTACATAGCCTCTCCAGTTAGATACTCTCACCAATTAATATCACTCAATATTAACCTGAAAATCAAACATGTCATAAGGATTGTTCAGGGTCTAAGGATTTTCTTTTTTAAATAAGTAGGGTTTGTAATTTTTGCATGTATTCAGGAGTTGACTTTTATAAAGTTAATAATTGAATATTTTGCATACTTCAGGATGTTTCATAGCAGCATTTAGGCAAAAATTCTTGGGTTATGTATGTTGATCTTGACACTGGTGTTTCTTAAAATTTTGCCACCTTTTAGGCATACCTTGTTAAAGAAAAACAATTCTATAAACTTGAACAAGGTAGTGAATTTGTCTTGCAGCCATATTTTTTCTGTGTTTAAAATCAAACTATTCAACACAAAACCTGTTAGAACTAATAAAGGAGGCTGGTTGTGATGGCTCACACCTGTAATCCCAGCACTTTGGGAGGCCGAGGCGTGCAGATCACTTGAGGAGGTCAGGAGTTTGAGGCCAACATGGAGAAACCTCATTTCTACCAAAAATACAAAAAATTAGCGAGATGTGGTAGCACACACCTGTAATCCCAGCTACTTGGGAGGCTGAGGCATGAGAATCACTTGAACCTGGGGTGCAGAGGTTGCAGTGAGCTGAGATCACACCACTGCACTCCACCCTGGGTGACAGTGAGGCTGTTTCTCAGAAAAAAAATAATAATAATAGCCAGTCATGGTGGCTCACACCTGTAATCCCAGCACTTTGGGGGGCTGAGGTGGGTGGATCACCTGAGGTCAGGAATTCGAGACCACCCCAGCCAACATGGTGACACCCCATCTCTACCAAAAGTACAAAAAATTAGCCAGGTGTGGTGGCAGGCCCCTGTAATCCCAGCTACTCAGGAGGCTGAGGCAGGAGAATCACTTGAACCCGGAAGGCGGAGGTTGCAGTGAGTCAAGATCGCGCCATTGCACTCCAGCCTGGGCAACGAGAGCAAAACTCTGTCTCAGAAAGAAAAAAAAAAAAAAAAGGCCAGGCGTGGTGGCTCATGCCTGTAATCCCAGCACTTTGGGAGGCCGATGCGGGCAGATCACGAGGTCAGGAGATCTAGACCATCCTGGCTAACACGGTGAAACCCCATCTCTACTAAAAAAAATATATATACAAAAAATTATATGGGTGTGGTGGCGGGCACCTGTATTCCCAGCTACTTAGGAGGCTGAGGCAGGAGAATGGCGTGAACCTGAGAGGCGGAGCTTGCAGTGAGCCGAGATCACACCACTGCACTCCAGCCTGGGTGGCAGAGCAAGACTCTGTCTCAATTAAAAAAAAAAAAAAAAGCTAATAAACGAATTCAGCCAAGTTGCAGGATGCAAAATCAACACACAAAAATCATTTTTTTCCTGAGACAATCTCACTCTGTCGCCCAGGCTGGGGTGCAGTGGCGCATTCTCAGCCCACTGCAACCTCTGCATCCAGGGTTCAGGCAGTTCTCCTGCCTCAGCCTCTTGAGTAGCTGGGATTATAGGCGTGCACCACCACACCCAGCTAATTTTTTTGTATTTTTAGTAGAGGTTTCACCATGTTGGCCAGGCTGGTCTTGAACTCCTAACTTCATGATCTGCCCACCCTGGCCTCCCAAAGTGCTGGGATTACAGGTGTGAGCCACCACGCCCAGCCTCAATTGCATTTCTACACACAAGGAATAATCCAAAAAGGAAATTAAGGAAACAATTCCATTTACAGTAGCATCAATATGAATAAAATATTTAGAAATAAACTTAACCAGTGATGTACAGTGACAGTATGTACACTGAAAGCTACAAAACATCACTAACATAAATGAAGACAAATTAGACATCCTGTGTTAATACATTGGAAGGCTCTTAAGCTGTCAATACTAAAGGTGATCTACAAATTCAGTGCAATCCCTGTCAAAATCCCAATGATGTTTTTTGAAGAAATAGAAAAACTCATCTGGGAATTCATACGGAATCTCGAGACCCAAAATAGCCAAAAGAGTTCAAAAAAGAACAACAAAGTTGGAAGACTAACACTTCCTGATTTGAAAGCTTATTTACTTAAAAGCTACAGCAATATGGGCCAGGCGTGGTGGCTCACGCCTGTAATCCCAGCACTTTGGGAGGCTGAGGCGGGCGGATCACGAGGTCACTTTGGGAGGCTGAGGCGGGCGGATCATGAGGTCAGGAGATCGAGACTATCCTGGCCAACATGGTGAAACCGCATCCCTACTAAAAATACAAAAATTAGCTGGGCATGGTGGCGCGTGCCTGTAGACCCGGCTACTCGGGAGGCTGAGGCAGGGGAATCGCTTGAACCAGGGATTCGGAGGTTGCAGTGAGCCGAGAAGATCGCAACACTGTACTCCAGCCTGGCGACAGAGCGAGACTCCATCTCCAAAAAAAAAAAAAAAAAGCTACAGGAATCAAAACAATGTGGTACTGGGCATAAAGACATATATAGACCAATGGAATAAAATAGAGTCCAGAAATGAGTCCTCACATGTATGGCCAAGTGATTTTCAAGAAGGGTGCCAAGACCATTCCATGGAAAAAAATCTTCAACAAATGGCACTGGGAAAATGATATCCACATGCAAAAGAACGACAGATCCTTTACACCATATACAAAAGTTAACTCAAAATGCGGCCAGGTGTGGTGGCTGATGCCTGTAATCCCAGCACTTTGGGAGGCTGAGTTGGGCAGATCACTTGAGGTCAGGAGTTCCAGAGCAGCCTGGCCAACATGGTGAAACCCCATCTCTACTAAAAATACAAAAATTACCCTGATGTGGTGGCGGGCGCCCGTAATCCCAGCTACCTGGGAGGCTGAGGCAGGAGAATCACTTGAACCCTGGAGTTGGAGGTTGCAGTGAGCCTAGATTGCGCCACTGCACTCCATCCTGGGCGACAGAATGAGATTCCGTCTCAAAAAACCTCAAAATAATCAAAGACAAAAACCTAAGATACAAAACTTGAAAGAGGGCCGGGCAAGGTGGCTCACGCTTGTAATCCGAGCACTTTGGGAGGCTGAGGAAGGAAGATCCCTTGAGCCTGTAATATATTGCCCAGGAGCTCAAGACTCCTGGGCAACATGGCAAAACCTCATCTTTACAAAAAATAGCTAAGCATGGTGACGGCTGCCTGTAGTCCCAGAGTCTCAGCTACTCAGGAGGCAGAGGTGGGAGGATCACCTGAGCCCGGGGAGGTCAAGGCTGCAGTGAGCTGTGATTGTGCCACTGCACTCCAGCCTGGGCAATAGAGTGAGACCCTGTCTCAAAACACAAACAACACGGCCAGGTGCGGTGGCTCACACCTGTAATCCCAGCATTTGGGAGGCCAAGGCGGGCGGATCTCAAGGTCAGGAGGTCATGACCAGCCTGGCCAACATGATGAAACCCCATCTCTATAAAAATACAAAAATTAGCTGGGCATGGTGGCGTGTACCTGTAGTCCCAGCTACTCAGGAGGCTGAGGCAGGAGAATCGCTTGAACCCGAGAGCAGAGGTTGCAGTGAGCCGAGATTGTGCCACTACACTACAGCCTGCTGGGCGACAGGGTGAGACTATGTCTCAAAAACAAAAACAAAAACAAAAACAAAAACATATATATATATATATAGAGAGAGAGAGATCTATAGATAGATACATAGACAGATAATCTGAGTTCTGAGTTCCTTCAATAGTTTCTTTTTTTTTTAGACGGAGTTTTGCTCTTGTTGCCCAGGCTGAAGTGCAGTGGCACGATCTCGGCTCACTGCAACCTCCGCCTCCTGGGTTCAAGTGATTATCCTGCCTCAGCTTCCTGAGTAGCTGGGATTACAGGTGTGCACCACCACTCCCAGCTAATGTTTTGTATTTTTAGTAGAGACGGGGGGGTTCACCATGTTGGCCAGGCTGGCCTCGAACTCCTGACCTCAGGTGATCCACCCGCCTCAGCCTCCCAAAGTGCAGGGATTACAGGTGTGAGCCACTGCACACGTCCTCTATTGATTCTTGAAAGTGTAGTTACTGGCTGAAAGAGCCATGAACATTTTTAGAACTCTTCATGCATTTTGTCAAGTTCCTTTTCAGAAAGAATATGCCAGTTCACATTACCTACAGCATAGATAAAGAGAATTCCTAACTGAACGCACTGGCTTACACCTGTAATCCCAACACTTTGGGAGGCTGAGGCGGGCGGATCACGAGGTCAGGAGATTAAGACAATCCTGGCTAACATGATGTATCCCCGTCCGTACTAAAAGTACAAAAAATGGCCGCACACGGTGGCTCACGCCTGTAATCCCAGCACTTTGGGAGGCCGAGGCGGGCGGATCACGAGGTCAGGAAATCGAGACCATCCTGGGTAACACGATGAAACCCCGTCTCTACTAAAAATACAAAAAATTAGCCGGGCGTAGTGGCGGGCGCCTGTAGTCCCAGCTACTCGGGAGGCTGAAGCAGGAGAATGGCGTGAACCCGGGAGGCGGAGCTTGCAGTGAGCCGGGACTGTGCCACTGCACTCCAGCCTGGGTGACAGAGCGGGACTCCGTCAAAAAAATAAATAAATAAATAAAAGTACAAAAAATTAGCTGGGGGTGGTGGCACGTGCCTGTAATCCCAGCTACTCAGAAGGCTGAGGCTGGAGAATCACTTGAACCCGGGTTGCAGTGAGTCGAGATCGCGCCGCTGCACTCCAGCCTGGGCGACAGAGCAAAACTCAGTCTCAAAAAAATATATACAAAAATTAGCCGGGCATGGTGGCGTGCGCCTGTAATCCCAGCTACTCAGGAGGCTGAGGCAGGAGAATGGCTTAAACCTGGGAGGAGGAGGTTGCAGTGAGCAGAGATGGCGCCACTGCACTCCACCCTGGGAGACAGAGCAAGACTGTCTAGAAAAAAATACAAGCCGGGTGCAGTGGCTCACACCTGTAATCCTAGCACTTTGGGGGGCTGAGGTGGACGATCACCTGAGGTCAGGAGTTCAAGACCAGCCCGGCCAACAGGGTGAAACCCCGTCTCTACTAAAAATATAAAAAATTACCCGGGTGTGGTGGCACATGCCTGCAATCCCAGCTACTCGGGAGGGTGAGGCAGGAGAATCTCTTGAACTGGGGAAGTGGAGGTTACAGTGAGCCAAGATCGCGCCATTACACTCCAGCCTGGGCGACGAGAGTGAAACTCTATCTCAAAACAAAAACAAAAGCAAAAATTTCAGAAGAAAGGGAAGTTTCATGAAACTAAGTTTGGCAATGATTGCCTCAATGTGACAGCAAAAGGCACAGGCAATGAAATCAAAAAAGATAAATTGCATTACATCAAAATTCAAAATGTACAAAGGACACTAGAAAGAAAAGCAGCTGGGCATGGTGGCGCATACTTGTAATCACCCCACCACTTTGGGAAGCTGAGGCAGGAGACCAAGAGTTGGAGACCAGCCTGGGCAACATAGTGAGATCCTGTCTCTACAAAAAAAGTAAAAAAAAAAAAAAAAAAGAAAGAAAGAAAAGAAAAAAAGAAAAGGCAGGCATGGTGATATGTACCTGTGGTCCCAGCTATTCCAAAGGCTGAGGTGGGAAGATCTCTTGAGCCAAGGAATTTGAGGCTGCAGTGAGCTATGATCAGGCCACTGCACTACAGCCCAGGTGGCAGAATAAGACCCTCTCTCTAAAAAAAAAAATTAGAAAAGCACCCCATATTTACAAATCAAGTATCTGATAAGGGATTAATATTCAGAACATATAAAGAATGTCTACAACTCAATATAAAAAGAACCCAATTAAAAAGTGGTCAAAAAGGCAGGGCATCATGGCTCAGGCCTATTATCCCAGCAACTTTGGGAGGCTGAAGTAGGAGGATCCCTTGAGCTGAGGAGTTCAAGACCAACCTGGGCAATATAGTGAAACCTTGTCTCTACAAAAAAATTAAAAATTAGCCAGGTGTGGTGGCACACACCTGTGGTCTCAGCTACTTGGAGGGTTGAGATGGGAGGATTGCTTGATACCAGGTGGCAGAGGTTGCAGTGAGCCATGGTCAGACCACTGTACTCCAGCCTAGGTAACAGAGCAAAACCCTGTCTCAAAAAAGGAGTAAAAACAAAATACAAAAAAAAAGTGGGCAAAAGACTTAAATAGACATTTCTCCAAAGATATACAGATAGCAGGCACATGAAAAGATACTCAGCATCACTAATCATTAGGGAAATGCAAATGAAAACCACAATGAGCTAGCACACCTAATAGATGTGAACCTATTAGGGTGGTTATTATAAAAAATAAGTGTCAGGATGTGGAGAAATTGGGATCCTTGTACATTGCTGGTGGGAATGTAAAATGGTACAACCACTGTGGAAGACAATGTGGAGGGTCCTCAAAAAATTAAATGTAGAATTACCATATGATCCAACAATTCTACCTCTAGGTATATATCCAAAGGAATTGAAAGCAGGGACTCAAACATATTTGTACACCAATGTTCATAGCAGCATTATTCACAACAGTAACTCAAGTGCCCATTGATGGATGGATGGATGGATAAACAAAATATGGTATGTACATGCAACAGAATATTTTTCAGCCTTTAAAAGGAAGGAAATTTTGACACATGCTACAACAGGGATGAACCTTTAAAACATTATGCTAAGTGAAATAAGCGAGACATAAAAGAACAAATGTTATATGATTCCACTTATATGAGGTACCTTAGAATAGTG
The DNA here is from genome assembly GCF_000001405.40 of Homo sapiens. Taxonomy (NCBI): domain Eukaryota; kingdom Metazoa; phylum Chordata; class Mammalia; order Primates; family Hominidae; genus Homo; species Homo sapiens. The sequence goes on from NC_000001.11 coordinate 52,097,923, forward strand.
GTCCCCAACGTTTTTGGCACCAGGAACTGGTTTCATGGAAGACAATTTTTTCCACAAACCAGTTGGGGGCATACTGGGGGATGGTTTTGGGAAGGTTCAAGTGCATTACATTTATTGTGTACTTTATTATTATTACATTGTAGTATGTAATGAAATAATTACACAACTCACCATAATGTATAATCAGTGGGAGCCCTGAGCTTGTTTTCCTGCAACTAGACTGCCCCATCTGGGGGTCATATGAGACAGTGACCCATTATCAGGCATTAGATTTGCATAAGGAGCCCACAACCTAGATTCCTCGCATGTGCAGTTCGCAACAGGGTTCACGCTTCTATGAGAATCTAATGCTGCTACTGATCTGACAGGAGGCGGAGCTCAGGCAGTAATGCAAACAATGGGGAGCAGCTGTAAATAAAGACGAAGCTTTGTTCACTCACTCTCTATTCACCTCCTGCTGTGCAGTCTGGTTCCTAACAGGTCACTGATCAATATGGGTCATGGCCTGGGGGTTGGCGACTCCTGCCTTAGCATGATCAAATTCATAGAGACAGAAAGAATTACTATGGGGTAGAAAGGGAGTGCAGAATGGAGAGTTATTGTGTAGTGAGTACAGAGTTTGAGTTTGGAATGGATGAAAAAGTTGTGGAGATGGATAGTCATGATGTTTGCACAACAATATGAATGTATTTAATGCTACTGAATTGTGTACTCAAAATTGGTTAAAATGACAAACTATGTATATCGTGTGTGTGTGTGTATGTGTGTGTGTGTGTGTGTGTGTGTGTGTGTGTGTTTTCTAGACAGGGTCTTGTTCTATCACCCAGGCTGGAGTGCAGTGGTTTGTTCTTGGCTTGCTGCAACCTCCGCTTCCTGAACTCAAGCAATCCTCCTGCTACAGCCTTCCAAGTAGCTAGGACTACAGGTGTGTACCACCATGCCCAGCTAATTTTTGTACTTTTTTTTTGGTAGAGACAGGGTTTCGCCATGTTGCCCAGGTTGGTCTTGAACTCCTGGACTCAAGAAATCTGCCTGCCTTGGCCACCCAAAGTGTTGGCATTACAGGCATGAGCCACTATACTGGGTCAACTTTATGAATATTTTACTATAACAACAAAAAAAAACCTGTGAAATGCCTCTAGGAACCCCATGTGGAAGAGATCAGCCAACTGTAGGTAAGTCTAACCGATCAAAAACATTATGGATACAGTTTACCTCAGCAATAAGTCATTCCCAAGACCACAGTGCTGAGAAACTTTGAGTTGGTACTCTGAGGAGTCAGAGATGAGTTGGCACTAATCCCTACCTCCACAGTATTACAGTTGTTAGAAAATAGCATACACTCAAAAAATAAAAGGTCATACCAAGGACCAGGTCAGTGCTACAGACTCTTTTTAAGTGTCACAGAAGAAAAGGATCTTCATCCCATCTTTATGTTTGCTAGAGCAAGCTTGTTATCACAGTGTATTTAGCCCAACTCACACCCATTCTAATATTGTTTTACATCCACATATCCTTCTTAAGAAGCCTAGACAGCCATGTTTACAGAGCGTGACTCCACACCAGTAATAGATGCTCAGACCGAGGGCAAAACAGTGACCCAAGAACCAATCCATAGACTAACAGCTGAGCCAATCCATTTATTTCTAAGGATTCTGTACTAAGACTGAATCAGATGCTAATGGACCCTTGGACTGAACGATCCTGTAGGATGGAGCTAGAACACTCACACTGGGCCAGGTACAAGCAGTGGAAGCTATAAGAATGAAGCCGAAATAATAGACAACCCTAAAAAGAGAACAGTCTCAGAAAATGATTTCACAATTTCTGTCCTATGATGCCTGGCTGTCCTTTTTCTGTCCCTGGGTTGCTAACTTGTCAGTGAGATTTTTGTGTTCTTAAAAACACCTCCCTCTGCCACCATCATTCCGTTTAAGCCAGCTTGAGAGACTGTTCCTTGCCACCAAATGATCTTAGAGCAAGGGCATTTGAAGCCGGGCATGATGGCTCACACCTGTAATCCCAGCACTTTGGGAGGCCGAGGTGGGCAGATCACTTGATGGCAGGAGTTCGAGACCAGCCTGGCCAACATGGTGAAACCCCGTCTCTACTAAAAATACAAAAATTAGCCAGGCGTGGTGGCATGCGCCTGTAATTCCAGCTACTCTGGAGGCTGAGGCATGAGAATCACTTAAACTCAGGAGGCAGAGGTTAAGAAAAATTAAGAAAAAAAAATTAAAACTGTTAAATGGAAATGTCACAGGGACCATCCTTCTGGCATTCTTTTTTTTTTTTTTTTTTTGGAGACAGAGTCTCTCTCTGTTACCCAGGCTAGAGTGTAATGGTGTGACCGCGGTTCACTGCAGCTTCCGCCTCCCGGGTTCAAGCCATTCTCCTGCCTCAGCCTCCCTAATAGCTGGGACTCAGGCACACGCTGCCACACCTGGCTAATTTTTTGTATTTTTTAGTGGAGACGGGGTTTTATCATGTTGCCCAGGCTGGTCTCAAACTTCCTGAGCTCAGGCAATCCGCCTGCCTCGGCCTCCCAAAGTGCTAGGATTACAGGCGTGAGCCACCGCGCCTGGCCCATTCTTGCATTCTTTAAAGTTTTGAGGGAGGCACTAAACTCTGTCATTTCACTAGAATGTCATAGGTTTTTGATTTATTATATTGGCCATTATAAGGGAGCAGTTTCAGGAGCTTCCACTTGGCCTTTCTTACTACTACAGTAGTTCTTCATCTACAGTGAGGGTTCTGCAATTTCTAGGTACGCCTATTTCAAGTATACACTCATGAACAGGAGAGACAACTGGGTAGGTCCATGTACCTAGTGGAACCATTGTACAACAGACCTGGGTCAGGACTCTATTTATTTCCTCACCCACATGTACTCTTATTCCAATTGGTGGACCATGCTGATGCTTTAGGTCCCCAGATATCAGTGTTAACTTAGATCTAGTATCCAGCAACCCTTGAAAGATCTGGATATTTTCCTAACTCTTTAGTGTAAGGTTATCTGAATAAATGACCATAGGTCCCTTTGGGGAAGAACTGGAGGAATCACTACTATATATACTTGCTGTGGTTTAGCAGGGTCCCTCCTTATGGAGGCCTCTTCCCTCCTTCAGTTGATGGCTTCTAGGTCTGAAAACAGGCAAAGATTTTTGACTTTCCAGTGCAGCTGATTTCAGCTTTCTCCTCATTCTTTTTTTTTTTAAAAATTGTAATTTCTAAAATTGTATCAGTATGTTTAAAAGATATCTGTACTCCCATGTTTATTGCAGCACTATTTACAAGAGCCAAGATTTGGAAGAAACCTGTTTCCATCAACAGATGAATAGATGAAGAAAATGTGGCACATACACTCAATGGACCACTATTCAGCCATGAAGAAGAATGAGGTCCTGTTTTGCAATGACATGGATGGAACTGGAGGTCATTATGTTAAATGAAATAAGCCAGGCACTGAAAGACAAACCACATATTCTCACTTATTTGTGGGAGCTAAAAATTAAACTCATGGAGACAGAGAGTGGAATGATGGTTACCAGATGCTGGGAGGGTAGGGGGAAGTGAGGATGGTTAATCAGTACAAAAATATACTTAGGTAGAATGAATATTATCTAGTATTTGATAGCACAATAAAGTGGCTGCAGTCAACAATAATTTATTGTACATTTAAGAATAACTAAAAGAAGGCTGGGCTTGGCTCACGCCTGTAGTCCCAGCACTTTGGGAGGCCGAGGTGGATGGATCACCTGAGGTCAGGAGTTCGAGACCAGCCTGGCCAAAATGGCAAAACCCCCTCTCCACTAAAAATACAAAAACATACTAGCCAGGTATCGTGGTGCACGCCCATAGTCCCAGCTACTTGGGAGACTGAGGCAGGAGAATCACTTCAACCCGGGAGGTGGAGGCTTCAGTGAGCCAAGATTGTGCCACTGCACTCCAGTGCCTGGGCAACAGAGTGAGCCTGTGTCTCAAACATTCAAACAAACAGAAAAACTAAAAGAGTATAATTGGATTGTTTGTAACACAATGAAAGGATAAATGCTTGAGGTGATGGATACCCCACTTACCCTGATGTGATTATCACACATTGTAAACCTGTATCAAAATATCTCATGTACCCCACAAATGTATATACATCTACTATGTACCCACAAATTTTTTTTTTGAGGCAGGGTTCACTCTGTTGCCCAGGCTGGAGTGCAATGGCATGAACACGGCTCACCATAGCCTCAACCTCCTGGGCTCAAGCGATCCTCCTGCCTCAGCCCTCTATGTAGCTGAGACCACAGGCATGTGCCACCAAACCTGGCTACGTTTTTTATTTTTTGTAGAGACGAAGTCTGACTTTTTATTGCCCAGGTCCTGTGCTGAAACAATCCTCCCACCTTCCCAAAGTGCTGGATTACAGGAGTGAGCCATCACGCCCACCCCCTGCAATAATTAAAATTAAAAAAAAAATTTAATTGTGATAAGCATACAACATAAAATTTACAATCTCAACCATCTTTAAGAGTACATACAGTTCATGGTGTTAAGTATATTCACACTGTTGTGCAACAGATCCCCAGAACTTTTTCATTTTGCAAAACTGAAACTCTATACCCATTAAACAACTCACCATTTTCCCCTCCCCAAGGCCCTGGAAACCACCATTCTACTTTCTGTTTCTATGAATTTGACCACTTTAGATATCTCAAATAAGGGAAATCATACAGTATTTGTCTTTTTTTCTTCTCATACATTCTTGAAATCTTTTACTTATACAATGGGCATCCATCTGTCTTGTCCCTGAGAACATCATGTTTTTTAAGTCATCTGCAAAATCTCTCTTGGTCATGCCCTCCTGGCTACCCATTCTGACATTAAGTCCACCCTTTTTTCAATGGTTAAGTGCTGCCACTTGATCTCTGCTATTCTGAGATCTATCCCCATTGCTACTTGGGAGCCCATCTCCCACCATTAGTCCTGACTTAGAGGATAGTTGCTGTAATCTTCATGATGCTGGTACCTCCCCTAACTAGTGCATTCCTTGTTTCCTTGGTAAATGGCATGTCCTCAAGGCCCTTCCAAGGGTGGGCCTTGGAAATCAACTGGTGGATTACAGGTGTGAGCCATGGCGCCTGGCCTCTCTGAGTCTTTTGATTCCCTTTACCATAGTTTGCTGTGGCAGTTCTAGCATCTCTACTTTAATGTGAATGTAGGCTGTCCCTTTTCTCAGGCTTCAAAGATCCATTCCAGCAGTGTACAGAATCATCTCCTGGGGCACTTGTAGGGTTTTAAATCCTGTGTCACAGGAGAGTGCCCTGATATTGATGAACTCTTCCTATCCAACTTTAAATTTCACCATTTATCCACCCCTCAGGCATATTCTTCTGGTACTCGCCAGCACATGTAAACCAGATCCTACAGCCACTTTGGCATATATCTCTCCCTTTTCCCTTAGCATACCCTGCATTTACCTAGTTGTGCTATTTGATTTTACTTATGGGACTTGTGGCCAGGAGGAACGATCAGGACAGATTCTAAGGAGGTCCTGCATTGTCTTATAAATTACCTACAAAGGGAGTAGGAAACAGGCATTCATCTTCCTACTTGAGACAGTGAGTCACTTCAATAGGCCTGGGGGTTTAAAGGAATCTTGAGATTCAAGCTTCTCAAATGTATCTACCTACATATCCTCACTTCAAATCGCAGGGTCCTACTTCTTCCGTATTAGGGCCCAACTTTTGTGAGGAGACTTGCCTATGCTGAGAATTCAGCCTTTTATCGAAGCTCCCACTCTCACAATTCTGCCTGATAATTAACTACCTTGGCCTACTGGCTGCAAGGGGTGAAAGTCTCTTTAAATGCTACCAGTGAGGTCCTTTGCTTTAAATTGTTGATTAATATATCTGAGCCTGTCATTTCCTTTCTTTCTTTTCTTTTCTATTTATTTATTTATTTTTTTGAGATGGAGTCTTGCTCTGTGGCCTAGGCTGGAGTGCATTGGTGTGATCTCAGCTCACTGCAAGCTCCGCCTTCTGGGTTCACACCATTCTCCTGCCTCAGCCTCCTGAGTAGCTGGGACTACAGGTGCCCACCACCATGCCCAACTAATTTTTTGTATTTTTTAGTAGAGATGGAGTTTCACTGCATTAGCCAGGACGGTCTTGATCTCCTGACCTCATGATCCGCCTGCCTCAGCCTCCCAAAGTGCTGGGATTACAGGCGTGAGCCACCGCGCCTGGCCTTCTTTCTTTTTCTATTCTTCTTTTTTCTTTTTTCCTTTAGAGACAGAGTCTTGCTCTGTTGCCCAGGCCAGAGTGCAGTGGTGTGATCATGGCTCACTGCAGCCTTGAACTCCTGGGCTCAAGGAATCTTCCCACCTTAGCCTCCTGAGTAGCTGGGATTACAGGCATAAGCCACCACAGCCAGCTAATTTTTAAAAAAATTTTTTTGTAGAGACAGGTTCCCACTATGTTTCCCAGGCTGGTTTTGAACTCCTTGGGCTCAAGTGATCCTCCTGCCTCAGCCTCCCAAGTGCTGGAATTATAGGCGTGAGCCACCACACCTGGCTCATTTTCTTTCATCAATCAATCAATGGCATTTAGCAACAGACTCCCACTTCCACTATCCTTATAGTTGGTATTTCCCATATATCTCTCAAATGCCTGAGACATTGCACCAGCTAGACTGAATATCCCCTTCCTTCCACCTATATTCCACCCCAATTCACTATAGGTGAAAGTCTTGCAGTTACATATATGGCATGCCAGAGACTCTCATTCCACCTACCGCATTACCATCCAGTCCATGTGTGATCCAACTCCAGAATCCCATCCTTAGGTCTGCTTTCAAGGACCATTCGTGGTACCAAGTATTTTACCTTAAGTTCCCCAGAAGCAGAGCCTGAGATAGGGATTCTGGTTCAAGTAACTTATCGAAGTAACTTGTTGAAGCAGTGGAGTAAAGGTAAGGAAGAGTGTGAATTCCCGCTCCAGTCTAACCCCACAGGGAAACTGAAACAAGACCTGTACCCCAAAATTAGTCCCTTGTTTCAAGGGACTGTGTCAGACAGTCATTGACAAGTCTTCTCCCTGGTTCCCTTACCACCAAGAGAGATAGCTCCCATTTGGTTGAGGGCAAGTCTCCAAGAAGGGGACAGCTGTGAGTTGTATCAGCTGAGACAGGGTCTCACTCTGTTGCTCAGGCTGGAGTGCAGTGGTGTGATAATAGCTCATTGCAGCCTTGAACTTTTGGGCTCAAGCGATCCTCTCAAGTAGCTGGGACTACAAGAGTGTGACCACAGCCAGCCAATTAAAAAATTTTTTTCCATCCTGGCCAACATGTGAAACCCCATCTCTACTAAAAATACAAAAAAAATGGCCCGGCGCAGTAGCTCAGGCCTGTAATCCCAGCACTTTGGGAGGCCGAAGAGGGGGTGGATCATGAGGTCAGGAGTTCAAGACCAGCCTGGCCAACATAGGTGAAACCCCGTCTCTACTAAAAATACAAAAAATTAGCCAGGTGTGGTGGTGGGCACCTGTAATCCCAGCTATTTGGGAGGCTGAGGCAGGCGAATCGCTTGAACCTGGGAGGCAGAGGTTGCAGTAAGCTGAGATCACGTCATTGCACTCCAGCCCTGGTGACAGAGTGAGACTCCATCTCAAAAAACCAAAAAATTAGCTGAGTGTGGTGGTGCATACCTGTAATCCCAGATACTTAGGAGGCTGAGGCAGGAGAATCACTTGAACCCAGGAGGCAGAGATTGCAGTGAGCCGAGCTGGCGCCACTGCACTCCAGCCTGGTGACAGAGCAAGACTCCATCTCAAAAAAAAAAAAAATTGTTTTTTTTTTTTCGTAGAGTTGGGGCCCTTGCTGTGTTGCCCAGGCAGTTCTCAAACTCCTGGCCTCAAGTGATTCTCCTGCCTTTGCCTCCCAAAGTGCTAGGATTCTAGGTGTGAGCCACTGCACTTGGCTTGTATTTTCTTAAGCTGTGTAGACCTGAAACATAGCAGTTATATTACCTTCAAATAATAACACATGTTTACAATCCTTTGTCCACAAATCAAAAATGCCAACTAAATTCAAAATGATTTTAAAACAAAGAATATTTTTCATAAATTTGGTGCAAACTCTACAGAAATGTAAAGTGTTAGATTATGGGATACTGCCACAAACTCAGCTAGGGGTATCATTTGGATGACATACGTCCGATATTACATTTTTTAAGTAAAAAAGATTCTTAATTTTGAAACAAAGCTGGCTCCAGAAAGTTTGGATAGGGAATTATGGACCTGTTGCTACCATTTTTAAGGTTCAAATATTACATATATGTACCTATACATGTATCAAAAGTAACTCAACCCTGCAAGAGGGATTTGCTTTCCCCATTTTTCAGATGAAGGATCAGAGGCACAGAAAGGTTAATTAACTTACTCAAGTAGTCAAGTTAGTGAATGGAAAAGTCAGGTCCGTGAGACTTCAAAACCTGATCTTTCCCATTACATCATGCTGTGTCTGCTGGTGAAATCATTGCTAGTTCATATAACGATTCTCGCTGTCAGTAATCTGTGATGTTTTGCGAAGAGCACTGTGACTTCTAGGAGCTCTACTACCTAAACATGTTTGAAAATCCCTGGACCTCATGACTTTAATGGTGTTTTCCACCCCCTAGGATTCTGTATGATTCTGTAAATTCTTTGTTTTTTTTTTTTTTTGAGATGGAGTTTTGCTCTTATTGCCCAGGCTGGAGTGCAATGGCGTGATCTTGGCTCACTGCAAACTTCGCCTCCCAGGTTCAAGCAATTCTCCTGCCTCAGCCTCCCGAGTAGCTGGGATTACAGGCATGCACCACCAGGCCTGGCTAATTTTATATTTTTAGTAGAGGTGGGGTTTCCCTATGTTGAGGCTGGTCTCGAACTCCTGACCTCAGGTGATCTGCCCGCCTTGGCCTCCCAAAGTGCTGGGATTCCAGGTGTGAGCCACCACGCCAGGCCTGATTCTATAAATTCTAAGCACACTGCCACTGATAGATTATCACCATTGTTATTTAACATTTACAGAGGACCTGTACTTCAGCTTTGCACAAAAATGAGAACTTTCTATTTTACTTACTAGCATTTATTCCTCTCAGAAAGTAATTTTCATGGGATTGGGAAAGGAATGCTTATGAGAACATGAAGATCAAGTGAAAAAGAAATGGGCTTAGGCCAGGCGCAGTGGTTTATGTCTGTAATCCCAGTACTTTGGGAGGCCAACGAGGGCGGATCACCTGAGGCCACGAGTCGAGACCAGCCTGGCCAACATGGTAAAACTCCATCTCTACTATTGAAATAAATAAATTAGCCATGCTTGGTGGCACATGCCTGTAGTCCCAGCTACTCAGGAGGCTGAGGTAGAAGGATCACCTGAACCCAGGAGGCAGTAGTTGCAGTGACCAGTGACCAAGATCACACCACTGCACTCCAGCCTGGGTGTCAGAGCAAGACCCTGTCTCCAAAAAAAAAAAAGGAGTTAGACCTAAATTCACATCCAGTTTTTGCCATATCATTCATTCAATAATATAATGAGATTATGTCACTGCAGGATATGGTGGCGGAGCCGGAAGGAACGTTGGTCTCTAGATATCAGGCTCCTATTTCTCCAGACTGAATACCTTATATTAGATTTAATATGTCTTCTTCTCCATCCTTCCCCTCACCTCACCTTCTCCTTCCCTTTCCCATTCTCCCTCCTCCCTCCTCCTTTTTTTTTTTTTTTTTTTTTTTTTAGAGACAGATGTCCCTATGCTGCCCAAGCTGGAGTGCAGGGGCGCTATTCACAGGTGCTACCATAGCACACTACAGCCCAGAACTGCTGGGTTCAAGCAATTCTCCTGCCTCAGCCTCCCGAGTAATGGGGGCTACATGGGGACACAGGTGCACACCAGTCACACCTGGCAATTTTTGCAAAATATAACCAAGAAATAAAATAAATCAAGGTTTTTTTCTCTAGATAACTAAAAAATGATTGTGAAAGTGTGACTTTTTCCTTTAGTAAAAATGAGCTTGAGCTTGAGAACATTTATATCTTTTTTTTTTTTTTTTTTTTCTGAGACGATGTCTCGCTCTGTCACCCAGGCTGGAGAGCAGTCCGCAATCTCTGCTCACTGCAACCTCCGCCTCCCAGGTTCAAGTGATCCTCCTGCCTCAGCCTCCCAAGAAGCTGGGATTACAGACTCCCATGACCATGCCTAACTAATTTTCATATTTTTAATCGTGACGGGGTTTCACCATGTTGGCCAGGCTGGTCTCAAACTCCTGACCTCAAGTGATCCACCTACCTTGGCCTCCCAAAGTGCTGGGATTACAGGTGTGAGCCACCATGCCTGACCCAGAGAACATTTGTATCTTTTCTCATTCTGTTGCCCAGGCAGGAGTGCAGTGGCACAGTCTCGTCTCACTGCAACCTCCGCCTCCCGGGTTCAAGCTATTCTCCTGCCTCAGCCTCCTGGATAGCTGGGATTACAGATGCCTGCCACCATGCCCGGCTAATTTTTGTATTTTTAGTAGAGACGGGGTTTCAGCATGTTGGCTAGGCTGGTCCCAAACTCCTAACCTCAGGTGATCCACCCGCCTCGGCCTCCCAAAGTGCTGGAATTACAGGTGTGAGCCAGCGCGCCCGGCCCATTTATATCTTGTATATACTTTGTGTAATGAATGACCACCAGTGTCAGGTTATGCTGAGCGTGGGTGAATCCAGTTAGCCAGAATCCAGGCCATGGAAAAACTTTCCAACGCTGATTTTTTTTTTATTATTATACTTTAAGTTTTAGGGTACATGTGCACAACGTGCAGGTTTGTTATATATGTATACATGTGCCATGTTGGTGTGCTGCACCCATTAACTCGTCATTTAGCATTAGGTATATCTCCTAATGCTATCCCTCCCCCCTCCCCCCACCCCACAACGGTCCCCGGTGTGTGATGTTCCCCTTCCTGTTCCCCTGTCCATGTGTTCTCATTGTTCAATTCCCACCTATGAGTGAGAACATGCGGTGTTTGGTTTTTTGTCCTTGCCAACACTGATTTTATCTGTTTGTTTGTTTGTTTTTTTTTTTTTTTTTTTGAGATGGAGTCTTACTCTGTCGCCCAGGCTGGAGTGCAGTGGCACAGTCTCGGCTCACTGCAATCCTTGCCTCCCGGGTTCAAGTGATTCTCCTGCCTCAGCCTTCCAAGTAGCTGGGATTACAGGTGCCCGCCACCACACCCAGCTAATTTTTGTATTTTTAGTAGAGACAGGGTTTCACCATGTTGGCCAGGCTGGTCTCGAACTCCTGACCTCGTGTTCCGCCTGCCTCGGCTTCCCAAAGTGCTGGGACTACAGGCGTGAGCCACTGGGCCTGGCCTGTTTTTAGTTTCTTCGAGATGAAGTCTTGCCCTGTTGCCCAGGTTGGAGTGCAATGGCACGATCTCAGCTCACTGCAACCTCCACCTCCCGGGTTCAAGCGATTCTCCTGCCTCAGCCTCCCAAGTAGCTGGGATTACAGGCACGCACCACCATGCCCAGCTAATTTTTTGTATCTTTAGTAGAGATGGGGTTTCACCATGTTGGCCAGGCTGGTCTTGAACTCCTGACCTCGTGATCCACCTGCCTTGGCCTCCCAAAGTGCTAGGATTACAGGAGCCAACGCACCCAGCCTGTTTGTTTCTGAGATAGAGTATCACTTTCATCCAGGCTGCAGTGCAGTGGCATGATCTCAGCTCACTGCAACCTCTACCTCCCTGGTTCAAGCAATTCTTCTGCCTCAGCCTCCTGAGCAGCTGGGACTACAGGTGCACGCCACCACAACCTGAGTAGCTGGGACAACAGGTGCACACCACCCCACCTGGCTAATTTTTGTATTTTTAGTGGTAACATGGTTTCACCATATTGGCCAGGCTGACCCTGGAATATCTCATCTGCTCTGGCTTTCCCAGTTTGCCACAGCTAATTATCCTTTCCCTGGTATGAATTCCTATGGTACAAAGAATTCACATTTGTATAGAGACTTCCCATTTACTAACTGATTTTACACACTTAATCTCATTTATTTCCTATAAAGTTATCATTATCAGGGAAGGGCCATCCTCTTCGCCACCCTCCTCACTAGGCATCCTTCTTAGTGTCTAGGACATTGCTGGGCCCCTAACAGGCAAACAGTGAAAACTTGACTAAATGAAGGAATCAGCATTTGGTTCGGGGGCAAAGTTGAAAGACAGGAGGCAGAAAACAAAAGCCATGAAACAAAGAAAGGGATAATTAAAAGAGAAGTTTGTTGATAGCTGCAAAAGCAGGAAAAGTAGACAATAGGTAGTCTTTCCACCACAGTGGAAAGAATGCCTACAGCTGAAGGGTTAATGAGACAGCCTCCTGCTTGGATCTCGACCTGCCTCCTAGTTCCCTGTCTTAGGTCAGGTTCTCCCACAAACACTCTGCATCAGACATTAGTGGGCAGAGGCCTTATTGGGGCATGCTCTTCAGATCAGCACCTGAGAGGAAGTGAAGGGCATGTAACTGGGCAGAGGAGGAAGAAGTTGGGCTGTGATGCAGTTATAAACAAACTCCACTGACCCTTCAGAGAGAACAGGAGCCAAAATGACCTTCTAGAGTCATCTGGAAATGAGGCACAGGGGTGAGACCCTTAAGCCTCCCACTTATCCCACCATCAACCCCTCATTAGATACAGACAGCACCCAGGATGGGGTCATACACTTGGATGGGCAGTTCCTTTGCCATGGCAGTTCCCAGAAAATGACTCAGTAGCTGGGGATAGGATTGCCTTAATGCTGAATTGGGTATCTGAGAGGTGTACCACAGCATCCATCTTGTTTCCACACTACATTACTGGATGCTTGAAGCCACTGCACTGCACAGAAGTTCCCGCTCTACATGGGCTTGGCTGTAAGGTCCCTGTCAGACATGTTTCTTCATTTCCACATGGATCCTTACAAGAAACTCCTATTACTTATGATAATCAAAGTGAGTTTCCTAAACCTCCAAAAGCTTGATTAAAACAACACATGCAACTCAGTTGATGACTTCTCACTGAAAGGTAGGGATGAGTATCCTCATTTTATAGCTTTGGAAACTGAAGCTCTGAGAGGTGAATTCACTTGCAAAAAACCACATTGTGTTGTACCTAGTCCAGGGCCCTTGCCTTTTCATTATACCAATATTTCCTTCAACATAATGCTAATCTAAGTCCCTCAAAATGTATTATTACAAGTGGGGTGAAATAAAGGTAGAAACAAGGTAAATTTGATAGGTGAAACATGGTAGGGATTTCTAACTTTAAAGCTCATTCCTTTTTTTTAAATTATTATTATTTTATTTTTTATAGAGACAAGGTCTCACTATGTTGCCCAGGCTGGTCTCGAACTCTTAGGCTCAAGTGATCTGCCTGCCTTGCCCTCCCAAAGTACTGGGATTATAGGTGTGAACCACTGCACCAGGCCTAAAGCTCATTCTTTCCTGTCTATGCCAATATTGTTATTTATCTTGGGTATCTGTACTATCTCTCTTGATAAATTTGTGTAAGGTATACATGTAAGAAAGACCATCTCTCCTATAGTGGTCTATTATTCAATGAAGCTCTGAACCAGTTCAATATATTTTTGTTGAGTGAGTCCCCCATTAACAATATTTCAATGGTTGCCATCACCTAAAGGCCATTACTCTGGCACTAAAGCCTTTTACTGTCTGGCTGCAACCCAGCTCCCCAGCCTCTGACCAGGTCCTCTGCACTACTTGTTCCCTTTCATGCCCAGTACTTTTAGAACTTCTGTTTCCTCTGCCTGAAATGCCCTTCCTCTTTTCTGATTGTCAAGTGCACCCTACCATTATTCAGGATTCAGTTCAAGTGTTACCTCCTTTGTAGTCTCATTATACTTTGTATATAACTCTGTTTAAACAACTAATAATAATAATAATAATACCTAGCATCCCCCATATGCCTCTTTATACACACAGACACAATCATGAATCCTCACAACCACTCTTCAAGGAAGATATTATCCTCTTTATAGACAGACTAATTCAGAGATATAAAGAGGCTAACCTAGTTGCATAGCTAATAAGTTAATGTGCCTGCTTTTCAAACCCAGTTCTGTCTAACTCCAAAGTCACTGTAATTGTTTTTTCTACATGATATCCTCAGGGACAGAAATCTCTTGTGCTTTCTCTTGTGTTTCCCCCAGACCTACATTGTGCCTGGTGAATAAGTAGGCACTCCATAAATATTTCTTTGCTGAAAAAATTTCTAGTGTACATCATGCTAGATTCTACTTCCATGTTTTTATTTGAGAATTTTCCCACCTGAAGTGCACAAATGCACTGCCTCCTCTCTATTTAAATTCTACCCATCCTTTGGAATGCCTCCTCTGTACAGCCTCCTTAGCTATGGCAATATACACTTCTCTCTCTCTCTCTCTCTCTCTCTCTTCAGTTGCAACTCTCTCTCTTTTTTTTTAAATTTTAGACAGGGTGTTACTATGTTGCCTGGGCTGGACTTGAACTCCTGGGCTCAAGCATCCTCCTGCCTCAGCCTCCTGAGTAGCTGGCACTACAGGCATGGGCCCACCGTGCCTGGCTTACAACCCACACCGTTCTTTCTCCTGTGTCAGAATAATGCCAGCCTACACACTTTAGCCCTGGATTACATTCTTCCCTATGTTGGACTTGTATTGCTTTATTCATGGTTAGCTTTTCAGATCAAGGACAAGGTCTTCACTTTGGAATGCTCCAGAGCACCTAGCAGAGGCCTAATCACATAGCTCATTGATTGGAAGACTTTTCATCCAGAGCCAAATAGCCTTCAGTAACATTAGAAAGTTACATTTCAGTTCTACACACTTCTAAGAGCGGCAGTCTAACTCTTACCCTGTGATTAAGAATCTTCCCTCTTTGAACAAAAAAACAGTAATTTTTTTTTTTTTTTTTGAGACAGTGTCTTGTTCTCTCATCCAGGCTGGAGTACAGTGGCATGATCATAGCTCACTGTAATCTTGAACTCCTGGGCTCAAGCGAATCTCCTGCCTCAGCCTCCTGAGGCTACAGGCAAGTGCCACCATGCCTAGCTAATTTTTGTATTTTTTTTTTTTTTTTAGATACAGGGTCTTGTTATGTTGCCCAGGCTAGAAAAAAAACAGTAATTTTTTTTTTTTTTTTTTTGAGACGGAGTTTTGCTCTTGTTGCCCAGGCTGGAGTGTAATGTCGCGATCTTGGCTCACTGCAACCTCCGCCTCCCAGGTTTAAGTGATTCTCCTGCCTCAGCCTCCTGAGTAGCTGGGATTACAGGCATGTGCTACCACGCCTGGCTAATTTTTTGTATTTTTAGTAGAGACGGGGTTTCTCCATGTTGGTCAGGCTGGTCTCGAACTCCCGACCTCTGGTGATCCGCCTGCCTCGGCCTCCAAAAGTGCTGGTATTTCAGGTGTGAGCTACTGCACCCAGCCAATGAAACAGTGATTTTTAATAAGGAGGCACAATAAATCCAGTACTAACACAGGATAAGGATTGAAAACTGAGATGAAAACCAACTAGATCAAGAGTCCATCATCACAACTCCAAGTTCTACTTTCAGTCCTAGAATTAATTCCCAGGTTCTATTCTGTGAACCCCAGATTCTAACCTGATTCTACCAGTGTTAGTCCATATTTGACTATCATTCTGTTGAAATTGGTCTAGTAAGCTATAGACTCAACTTTACAAATCCAGTAATTTATGTTTGGAACTCCAGGTTATATTCTGTGAATCCCATATCCTCCTATTGGGCAATCAGATTCTGCTATTAAAGCCCAAGACACTGCTTTTAGAACTACAGCTTCTATTTTGGCAACTCCAGATTCTATTCCCTAACCCCCAGATTCTAATATTCTAGTAACACAGTTTCTACTATCAAGGCCTAAGATTCTAACATTAGAACTCCTGGTCTGTTCTTGGAATCACATATCCCACTTTTGGAACATCACATTGTATTCTCTGAACCCATTCTCTGATCCTATTATCGGAGTTCACATTCTTCTACTGAAACTTAAGATTCCATTATTGGAAACTCAATTTCCAATCCTGGAACTTGATCTACTTTAATAATTCTAGATTCTACTATTTCTGTGTCTTAGTCTACCCAGAAGATTCTACTATTAAAACTCAAGGTTCTACTCTTAGAAACTAAAATTCTACTATAAGAACTTAGGCTTTACTCTCAGAAACACAGATTCCATTATTGGAATTAGACCTGAAGGTTCAGAGTTGAGACAAAAGTTTTGGTAGTAGAATCTTGGACTTCAATTGTTGGGATTAAATTGAAATTCTTCATTGGGAACTCTAATTTTATTTTAATTAATTAATTAATTAATTTGAGACAGAGTTTCACTCTTGTTGCCCAGGCTGGAGTACAACGGCAAGATCTTGGCTCACTGCAGCCTCCACCTCCTGGGTTCTAGCGATTCTCTTGCCTCAGCCTCCTGGGTAGCTGGGATATTACAGGTGCGTGCCACCACACCTGACTAATTTTTGTATTTTTAGTGGAGACGGAGTTTCACCATGTTGGCCAGGCTGGTCTCGAACGCCTGACCTCCGGTGATCTGCCTGTCTCGGCCTCCCAAAGTGCTAGGATTACAGGCATAAGCCACCGTGCCTGGCCATGGGAACCCTAATTTTAGAACTGAATTTGTTGGAAACTCCAGATTGTATTGTGTGAGCCATATATTCTACCATTGGACATACAAATTACATTATCAAAACTCAAGATGCTGTTATTGGAATTATAGTTCTATTATAGTAACTCTAGGTTCTATTGACTAAACCCCAAATGTTGTTATAGTAGTGGAATTCAAGGTTCTCTTAGACTCTAGAATCTAGAGGCACTTATCACAGAGGTTAAAAACATGAGTTCCGGAGCAAGACTACTTATGGTTAGATACCATTTCTGTACTTCTCAGGTGTGTGACCTTTGGAAAGTTAACCTCTCCATGCCTCAGTTTCCTCATCTGTGAAACAGGAATGGTAACAATAGTATTCACCTGCCAGTTTTTTTTTTTTTTGGAGCACTAAATGCAATAATAACAACAGTAATACATGTAAAACACCTACAACAATGCCAGGTACATAGTAAGCACTTAATAAATGTTAGCCATTGCATTATTACTGTTGGAGGCTAATCCTAATCCTAATCTAATATGCTAATATGCTAGAATCTAATCTAATATGCTAGAATCCAATATTAGAATTTCATAATTTACTATTGTACCTCAAGGTTCTACTATATAAACTCAAGGTACCTCTTTGGAACTCAAGATTGTGCTCTCTGAACCTCATATTTTAAACTTCAATACCTGTATTGCATTCTTGGAACTAAAGTTTCAGTATCAAAATGCAAGATTCTAAGAATATAATTCCCAGTTCTATTCTTATAAATCAAGATTCTAGTTTAGGAACTCTAGGTTCTTTCTCTGAAACTGAAATTCCACTGTTGAACCTCTAGATTTTACTTTCATAACAAGATCCTACTATTAGAACTCCAGTTTCCAGATTCAGAGTCTGAGATTCTAATACTAAAGTCCAGAAATCTACTATTGCAACTTCTGGTTTTGTTCTCTGAGTCTAAGCATTTTACCATTAGAACTCAGCTGCTACTTGGGTCCTTAGAATTCTAATATTGAAAGGATAGGATCTATTCTCTGAACTTGAATCCTACAGTTAGATTCCACAATACTTAAGGAATTTCAATAATGGCAATCAAAGATTATATATTTGGACTACAAAATTCTAATCTGTAACCTCCAGATTGTATTTGTGACCTCCAAGTTCTGTCAAAGTCTGAGATTCTAATACTGAACTCCAGGTGCCAAATTTGGAATTGCAGATTTTACTATTTTACTCCAGGTTTCATTCCTTTTTTCTTTCTTTTTTTTTTTTTTTTTTTGTTGAGACAGAGTCTCACTCTGTCACCCAGGCGGGAGTGATCTCAGCTCACTGCAACCTCTGCCTCCCAGGTTCAAGCGATTCTCCTGTCTCAGCCTCCCAAGTAGCTGGGATTACAGGCACCCACCACCATGCCTGGCTAATTTTTGTATTTTTAGTAGAGATGGAATTTCGCCATATTGGCCAGGCTGGTCTCGAACTCCTGACCTCAGGTGATCCACCCTTCCCAGCCTGGTTTCTATCCACCTGCCTCAGCCTGGTTTCATTCTTATAAACCGAGATGTGACTCTCTGATTTCTAGCTTCTGACCAGAGGATGCTGAGAAGGATTTCTTGAGAATTTCCCAGGCATTACTACTTGATTATTAACTGTCCTGAATTGTGCTCTCAAATTCCTGTGATAACAGATCCCTTGAATGGAGTCCTTTGGCAATAGCTACAGCGACAGAGAACCATGCTGGCCCATGGAAAATGTGTTATGTTAATGAAACTGCCTACCATTCCCCTTTCCTTTCTCCACTCACCATCTCATCTTTGTGGCTCTCTTTCAGGTCCCCAGTGCTTCTATGCACTTTCCCTGTGGCCATCCAGCCTACTTAGGTCAAGTGACTCTCAAGAATATATTTGAAACTTTTTTACACTTAAGTGCAATTTATTTATTTATTTATTTATTTATTTATTTATTTATTTTTTGAGACTGAGTCTCACTCTGTCGCCCAGGCTGGGAGTGCAGTGGCGCAATCTCTGCTCACTGCAAGCTCCGCCCCCCGGGTTCATGCCATTCTCATGCCTCAGCCTCCCGAGTAGCTGGGACTACAGGCGCCCGCCACCACACCCGGCTAATTTTTTTGTATTTTTAGTAGAGGCGGGGTTTCACCATGTTAGCCAGGATGGTCTCGATCTCTTGACCTCATGATCCACCCGCCTCGGCCTCCCAAAGTGCTGGGATTACAGTTGTGAGCCACCGCACCCGGCCCTCCTATCTGGCTTTTGTGAAAGAAGTATCATTTTGTTTATTTTATTTTATTTTATATTTTATTTTATTTTATTTTATTTGATATGGAGTCTTGCTCTGTTGCCCTGGCTGGAGTGCAGTGGCGCGATCTCTGCTCACTGCAACCTCCGCCTCCTGGGTTCAAGTGATTCTCCTGCCTCAGCCTCCAAGTAGCTGGGACTACAGACACCTGCCACCACACCCAGCTAATTTTTCATATTTTTTAGTAGAGACGGGGTTTCACCATGTTAGCCAGGATGGTCTTGATCTCCTGACCTCTTGATCCGCCTGCCTCGGCCTCCCAAATTGCTGAGATTACAGGCGTGAGCCACCGCGCCCGGCCACTATTGTAATTATAATGATAATAAGGGACTACAACAGTGGCTCATTCCTCTAATAAATAATCCCAGTGCTTTGGGAGGCCAAAGAGGGAGGATCCCTTGAGCCCAGGAATTCAAGGCTGCAGTGAGCCATGATTGCACCACTGTACCCCAGCCTAGGGGACAGAGCAAGACTTTGTCTCTGAAAAAAAAAAAAGATAAAAAATGCACTGAGCATTTACCATATATTAAGCATGTAGAAGGCAAAAAATGCATTGCATTTTGGTTTTTAGAACCTCAGGGAAAAAACCAGAGGGATGGCTTTCTTAAGCTTATATACTTTTTTTGCACAGGTACTTTACAGACATCTCTAATCTTCATAGCACGCAGTGGGCGTTACACCTAACAACTGAGGGCCTCAGGATCTGGTAGTAGGGGTGACATGCACAAGGTCACAAAAGCTGGTAAGGTGAAAGGGTCAAGATCCAAACCCAAGCCTGTTTACTCCAAAGCTCTTGCTCTGTCATCAACATCTCATTTCCTCCCAGTGGGTGAAAGAGATATTTTAAGGCAGGAAGGTGCCTCTCTCAAATTATACTCAAACAGTACAAGTGTAAAGGGGAAGGGTGGGGCCAAGCTCCTCCTTTGAATGAAATGAAGGAAAAGAATCTGCATCTGGGAGCTTCTGACTAGCTGAGACTCTGGAGGAGCAGTAGAACTAGGAGCCGGAGGGTGGGCACAGGTTGGTGGAGGGGGAACTCGGCAATTGATGACATTCCACCTGATGAGCCTCACCTCATCAGGTAGCCAAGAGTTTTGGTGAACCTGCTCTGTGCCAGGGACCTGGAATTGTGGAACTAATAAATTCCAAACCCATAAGGTCAGAGATAGCAAACCCCTCAGAAATTATATTGCTTTCTTATTGTAAAGGCAAGGAAACAGGCCCACAGAAGAACAGCGATCTCTTCTGTGTGAGGGTCACACAGCAGTGAGAGACAGAATTTAGAGCCTCTGCCTTATTGGGATTTGCTTCTCTGTAATTCATGCCATGGTAAAAGTGGCTGTCAGAAGATCCTTTCCCAAAAGCATGCTTTAAGAGAAAAGAGAGCAGCTGGGCACAGTGGCTCACACCTGTACTTCTAGCACTTTGGGAGGCTGAGGCAGGAGTTCAAGAGCAGCCTGGCCAACATGGTGAAACCCTGTCTCTATTAAAAATACAAAAATTAATCGGGTGTGGTGGCGGATGCCCGTAATCCCAGCTACTCAGGAGGCTGAGGCAGGAGAATTGCTTGAATCCGGGAGGCGGAGGTTGCAGTGAGCCAAGATGGAGCCACTGCACTCCAGGCTGGGCAACAGAGTGAGACTCTGTCTCCAAAAAAGGAAAAAAAAAAAGGAAAAGAGAAAGAGAGCACCTGCTGCGCAAAGGAGAGAGGAAGGAATATAAGTCTAGAATCCTGGGGATAACCCAGACTTATGACCCAGTTTTCTCAGGAACAGGCTACATTTGGGAATTTAAGAGATGTTTATGTGGGAAGACAGAGACTCATGTTTCTGGCTGGGACCTCCTAGGAGCAGAAATGAGATTTGCCTCTCTGCTTCTACTCAAAAGCAGTTTCCTCATCTAGAATTTGTTTGATACAGAATATTCCAGTGTGAAAGGATATTTGGGCCCATCTAAGAGATGGCACAGCTCAGTCCTGTGGGACCTGTGGGCTGGAAGTCAGAAGACCTGGTTCTAGCCCCAAGTCTGCCACTGTCATTCTAGGTGATTCTGGCAAGCCTTTCCCCTTCTCTGAACTTTAGTTTTCTCATCTGTTAAGTGGGGTGTTTATATCCAACCATCTGTAAGGAGTTTTTCCAGCTCAATCTACAGTTACATCTCTCTAGTGAAACCACCTTTGCAAAAATTATAACTGAGGAAATTATGACAGTAAAAGAAACCAGACCTAACCGACTCCATCTTGCTTCTAACTTTTAAGCTGTCCTAGTTCATTCCTGGGCGTAGGCCGAACTAACCTTGGGAAGGAATTCACTTGATGGTTTGACGTTTTACTCTGAAACAAAATTAATCATAGCCGTTTCCTGAAAAGACCCCCTTCTTGCCTAGGGACCAGTCTGCCTTTACAGGACTAACAAATTAGCTACAAGGTTAGAAATTACAGTTCATGGGTCATGCAGCCTCTGGCTGCAAGTGTCTGAGCCTCCCCAAATTGCTCCTGGGGATAATATTACTATTGTAAAACCTAAGCTCAGTGCCTGAGATATTTTGCAGACCATGCCCTAAATGGATCAGCTGACACCACCCAGACAAGATTAGTAATCTGGCTCAACCAGTTCTGCGATCCCACCCAGGAACAGAAGACAGCAAGAAAACCTCACTTCGCCCCCTATGATTCTATTTCCAACCTAACCAATCGGCATTCCCCACTTCCGGAGCCCCTACCCGCCAAATTATCTTTAAAAACTCCAATCCCCAAATGCTCAGGGAGACTGATTTGAGCAATAATAAAACTCCGGTCTCCTGCACAGCCAGCTATGTGTGAATTCTCTTTCTCCATTGCAATTCCCCTGTCTTAATAAATCAGTTCTGTATAGGCAGCAGGCAAAGCGAATCCATTGGCCTGTTACACTAGAGGCTAAGTTTTTCATGTTGCCTAGCTATAGGAAGCGCCACGCAGACTAGAATCCAGGGGTCCTGATGACCTGACCATGTTCTATGTCACACATCGTTCTCTAGTTGACATTATCTTCTCCCTCCTCCCCGTCCCGCCCCCCAGAAGTTCCCTAAGTAGATTGACCTCTTTTATCTGGAGAAGACTGAAGCATTTCAGACAAGCCTTTATCATGCAGATCACCCTGACACCTACCCTGGGTTGTGAATATCAGTTTATCTGGCAGATCACTGCTGTACAGAGAAAGTATCAGTCCGAGGCTAAACCTCTCTGAGCCTCAGCCTCCTCATCTGTAAAATCGGTAAAATACCCTTATCATTGAGTTGCTGTGAGGCTTAAATAAGAAAGTATATTTTACAATATCTAGGATAATATCTGGCACCAATTTCAAATTCATCCATTTATAGTTGTCCTTCTCCACTGTCAATACTATGACCTAATCCAAATCACCCTCTTGCTTGGAATTTTTTTTTTTTTTTTTTTTTTTGAGACACCAGGCTGGAGTGCAGTAGCACAATTTCGGCTCACTGCAACCTCTGTCTCCTGGGTTCAAGGAATTCTTTCTTGTGCCTCAGCCTCCCAAGCAGCTGGGATTACAGACACGTGCCACCACGCCTGGTTAATTTTTGTATTTTTAGTAGAGACAGAGTTTTGCCATGTTGGCCAGGCTGATCTCAACCTCCTGGCCTCAAGCAATCCACCTGCCTCAGCCTCCCAAAGTGCTGGGATTACAGGTGTGAGCCACTGTGCCCAGCCCTTGCCTGGATTTCTGAAAGAGCTTCCTGTTACCCTGTTTCAAATCTTGCCTCTACAATTCCATTACCTTTCCGTAGCTGGAATGATATTCTAAACATAAATCAGATCGTATCCTTTCTCTGATTGAAAACCCTCCAAGACACCTCATTGTCCTTGAGATAAAATCCCAAATCCTTACCTTGGGCCACAAATCCTTTGATCTGACTTCCATCTGACTTTTGCCTGTCTCTACCTGGCCTCATCTCTTGCCACTCATGCTCAGGCTCTTTCTCACACCAAGCCACTGCACCTGCTGCCCCACTGACTAACCACAACTTGCCTTCTAGGTCTCAATTGACAGGTCCCTTCCTCAAAAAGACTTTCCTGGACCCTCCTGAATTATTGTCTCTCAAAGATTTCCCTGCTCCCATTATTCTCTCTCCCAGTAATCCATAATATTACAGGACTTATACCATTTACAAGTATATATTCATTTGTGTTTACTTAATGCTTTATATACCTTCCCAGAAATAAGCACTTTAAATGTAAGGACCAAGTCTGCTTTTATACCCCCTCTAACCCTAGTACCTAGCACAGTCCTGAAGATGCAGTTATTCGGGAATATTTACTAAGTGAATGAAAAGTGGATGCTCAGTTTCCTTTCTTCTCTTTCTCCTTTCTTCACTTTTTTTTTTTTTTTTTTTTGACATGGAGTCTCACTCACTCACCCAGGCTGGAGTGCAGTGGTACAATCACAGCTCACGGCAATCTCCGCCTCCCAGGTTCAAGTGATTCTCCTGCCTCAGCCTCCCAAGTAGCTGGGATTACAGGCGCCCACCACCATGCCCAGCTAGCTTTTGTATTTTTAGCACAGACAGGGTTTTGCCATGTTGGCCAGGCTGGTCTTGAATTCCTGACCTCAAGTGATTTGCCTGCCTTGGCCTCCCAAAGTCCTGGGATTACAGGCGTGAGCCACCACGCCTGACCTTTCTTCTTCTTCTTCTTCTTTTTTTTTTTTTGAGACGGAGTTTCACTCTGTTGCCCAGGTTGGAGTGCAATGGTGCCATCTCAGCTCACCGCAACCTCCGCCCTCCACCTCGCAGGTTCAAGCGATTCTCCTGCCTCAGCTTCCCAAGTAGCTGGGACTACTGGCACCCGCCACCACACCTGGCTAATTTTTGTATTTTTAGTAGAGACAGGGTTTCGCCATTTTGGCCAGGCTGGTCTTGAACTCCTGACCTTAAGTGATCTGCCTGCCTCAGCCTCCCAAAGTGCTGGGATTACAGGCGTGAAGCCACCGTGCCAGGCCCTTTCTTCACTTTTTGTATTATTACCAGATACACCTAATGAAATACTTTGCTGCTAACAAAAATTTTGTTTCATGTGTTAGGGGGCCATTCATCTATCTTAAGAGCTAAGGGTATAATCTTTGAAAACAGATCTGGGTTCAAATCCTTGCTCTGACACTTCTGCTGTGTGACTCAAGATCATTTCCTTAAACTTTCTGAGCTTTAGTTTATTACTTGTTAAATGGAGAATTTAGCATCAACCTCAAAAGATTGCTGTGAAGATTAAATGAGGGGGTATATGAAGCAATTAATGCAGTATGACACATGAGTGCTTATAAATAATAGCTATTTTTGTTATTAATAACTATCACTAAGAATAATTCTCTGAATACCCCTAGGTATATGTTACAGTACTTTTGTGCCATGGAAGACAACTAAATTTTGTGTCAGCATACCTGGGTTCCAGTCCTGAAATTGGCTCCATGAATTTGGGTACTCTCCTCAAGCCACAATTTCTTCATCTATAAAATAGGTTCACTAAACCCATTCCTGTTCACCACACGGGACCATTATGGGGCTCACAAAGGATAGTGCATGTACAAAGGTCTTGTAAATTGTAAAGGGCTGTAAGTAAAAGTAAAGGTGTATTGTTATTAATTCCTGGCTCACCTCCCAAGGAGACTCTGGGTAAATAAGATAAGGTTGAAGTAATATTCCAAGTGATTAAGGCCAAGGTGAGGGCTTTGGACTGAAGGCCAAGTTCAAGCCTGACTCTCTCTCACGGGGCCAGGCCATTGTTTAGTTCCTGATTGGAGAGAAGCCTGAGTATCTCTTCAGTGCCTCAGTGGGGAGAGTGTAAATGAGGGAAAAGTTCAAAATAAGACATGGCTTGTTTGCTTGCCCTACTGCTGTCTGCCCAGACAGGGAGGGGGACCTAGCAGATCTCTTCTTGTGTCCTAATTTTCTTGGCTCCTCCTACCCTCAGGGCAGGTATGTGTCCTTGTTAGAACCTGGGAGGGAAGGCTTTTTTAATTTTATTTTTTGTTGAAACAGCATCTCACTCTGTCGCGCAGGCGCCCAGGGTGGAGTGCAGTGGTGCTATAACAGCTCACTGCAGCCTTGACCTCCCCAGGCTCAGGTGATCCTGAGAAGGGCTTTTTATTAGCTAAACTGATGACAACTGTTTCATACATCTTCACTGCCCATCCTCACTGTGGCATGTTAAGGAAAACACATTTTCCTGGATACTCAGGGAGGTGGTGTTAAAATGTAAAAGAATAGCACAATTCAAATGTTGACCATTCATTCATTCACTTGCTTGTGACCCTGGACAGGTCCTGGGCTCCAGTGCCCAACGTGTAAAATGGTAAGAGATGCTGGATTCTAGGATCTGTGCTGTCCTTTCTAGCCAGTGGCGTGCTGGTAAATGTTTTAACTGCTGGCTAAGTGTAGTTCTGACATGAATGTTGGTTTAACAAATGAGACGAAAATGAAACAAAGACATCTATTGGAACTTCACTCATTTATGAATGATATCGGTGATTTCTTTGCTGAATCAAGTAACGGTTTTCAAATACTGAAAGATTAGCTCTTAATTTTTTTCATGTTTTTCCCAGTGTAACAGCTACAGACACAACACAATTTTAAGTTTCATTTGCATTATTCACAGTTGCTCTATCACTTTCTTAAGTCTAGACACTTAACAAAACAAGCCCTGATATACACCATTTGCCAATTTCTCTGGTATAAATATTCCCACCATAGCCAGCTTCACAAAAGTGTTAAGTTTTGACGAAGTCCAATTTATTTTTTTCTTTGGTTGCTTATACTTTTGGTGTCATATCTAAGCAACCACTGCATAAGTGAGCCGAGATTGGACTCCATCCTGGGTGGGTGACAGAACAAGACTCTGTCAAGAAAGAGAGAAAGAGAGAGAAATAAATAAATAAATAAATAAATAAATAAATAAATAAATCACTGCATAATCCCTGGTTAGATTTACATCTATGTTTTCTTCTAATAATTTGTTTTTTTTTTTAAGATGGAGTCTCGCTCTGTTGCCCGGCTGGAGGTGCAGTGGCATGATCTCTGGCTCAATGCAACCTCCGCCTCCCAGGTTCAAGTTATTCTCCTGCCTCAGCCTCCCGAGTAGCTGGGACTACAGGCACATGCCACCACACCCAGCTAATTTTTTTATTTTTAGTACAGACAGGGTTTCACCATGTTGGCCAGGATGGTCTCTATCTCTTGACCTTGTGATCTGCCCACCTGGGCCTCCCAAAGTGCTGAGATTACAGGCGTGAGCCACCACGCCCGGCCCTCTTTTAATTTTTTTTTTTGAGATGGAGTTTTGCTTTTGTTGCCCAGGCTGGAAGTGTAATGGCCCAATCTCAGCTCACTGCAACCTCCACCTCCTAGGTTCAAGTAATTCTCCTGCCTCAGCCTCCCAAGTAGCTGAGATTACAGGCACCTACCACCATGCCTGGCTAATTTTTTGTATTTTTAGTAGAGACAAGGTTTCACCATGTTGGTCAGGCTGGTCTTGAACTCCTGATCTCAGGTAATCCACCCACCTTGGCCCCTCAAAGTGCTGGGATTACAGGTGTGAGCCACTGTGCCCAGCCAATAATATCATTTCATTATTTTTTTAGAAACAGGTCTCGCTCTGTCACCCAGGCTTGAGTGCAGTGGTGCAATCATAGGTCAGTGCAGCCTCAAACTCCTGGGCTCAAGCAATCCTCTCACCTCAGCTTCCTGAGTAGATGGGACTCACAGGTATGCACCACCATGCCCAGATAATTTTCAAATATTTTTTAGAGACAGGGGTCTCACTGTGTTGCCCAGGCTGGTCTTGAACTTCTGGCCTCAAGTGATCTTTCCACTTTGGTCTCCCAAAGTGCTGGGATTATAGATGTGAGCCACTGTGCCTGGCCCCCAGCACCATTTGTTGAGAAAACTATTTTTTCCCCATTGAATGATATGGTATACTAATTAAAAACAATAAATTTGAAACATTAGTAAGTATTTCTTTGTAAAAAAAAAAAAGTATCAATGGTAATTTGAATAGTGCTTGCTTTGTTTTTGTATAATTTATGAGTGACCAACGTTTCCATGCTTGGAACATGGTCCTAGTTCTAAGTTTGGATCCACTTCCAACATTTTATTTTTACTTTTTTAGAGACAGGGTCTTGCTCTGTCATCCAGGCTGGAGTGCAGTGACCCTATTGTAGCTCAGTGCAGCCTTGAACTCCTGAGCTCAAGCAGTCCTCACCCGCCTCAGCCTCCTGAGTAGTGGGGACTATGTAGCATAAGCCACCATGCCCGACTAATTAAAAATTTTATTATTTTTGTAGACACAGGGTCTTCCATATTGCCCAAGCTGGTCTTGCACACTCCTGGCCTCAAGCAATCCTTTTGCCTCGGCTTCCCAAAGTGCTGGAATTACAAGTCTAAGCCACTGTGCCTGGTCCACTCCGAACATCTTATTCTTTGTACTTTCAATATATATTTTGAAAAACCTGTTTAAATCAAAAATTTTTTGGTACTCTCAATGTCTTGAAGTATCTCTAAGAGTTCTCTTACTTATTTACTTAGTTATTATTATTATTATTATTTTGAGATGGAGTCTCGCTCTGTTGCCCAGGCTGGAGTGCAGTGGTGCAATCTTGGCTCACTTCAACCTCTGCCTCCCCGATTCAAGTGATTCTCCTGCCTCAGCCTCCCAAGTAGCTGGGATTACAGGTGTCTGCCACCATGCCCAGCTAATTTTTGTATTTTTTGTAGAGATGGGGTTTCGCCATGTTGGCCGGGCTGGTCTTGAACTCCTGACCTCAAATGATCCACCCGCCTCAGCCTCCCAAAGTGTTGGGATTACAGGTGTGAGCCACTGCACCTGGCCAAAGAGTTCCTTTAATGTGAAGTTTTTTGCTGGTCTTACTGTCTCTAAGACATCTTCATCCTTTTGGTTATAACCATTTTCTTCATTTTTTTCAAAAGTTTGCCTTCACTAAGTTCCTCTGGTTACATATCTAAAGTCTTTCAAATGGGAACAGTGTCAAAATTTCCATGCTCAACTACTTCAAGTTTCACTTCCAGCCTTATCACTTTTCATTTCTTTACTTCACTTGATCTTTTTTTTCTAATTCCCCTTTTTGATTATTCATTTTTCTAAAATGTCATGTGAGTTTTATTACTGGTAGAAAAGGAGGCAACACAATATATCCTTTGCTGTTTGTTAAAGAACTGAATAACAAATATGCAGTGATAGACCAAAGTCTATCACTGATTGACTTTGAAAGAAGTGGTGTGATTGATGACTGATCATAATGTGCATCTGTTATTTACATAGTGATGCATGGACTGAAGAGCCAGCAGCAAAGTTTGTAATGTGTGCAATTACTTATAGTTACTATATTGTGATAAATGAAATTTGAATTGTGTTGTTAACTATGGTAACTAAAATTCATGCATTTCAGAACTGTGCAAAGCAAGGGCTGCCTGTATTTATTACTTTGGTTTTTAACATAATTTAATTGTAAGTTTATATAATTTAAATTTTAACTAAACATTTTAATTGATACATAATTTTACATATTTGTGGGTATATATGATATTTAGATACCTCCATACAGTATATACTGATCAGATTAGGGTACTTATGATATCCATCACCTTACAGATTTATCATTTCTTTGAGTCGGGAACATTTCAAATCTTCTCTTCTAACTATTATGGCAATGTTTAACAATTGGCTCACAAAGTTTCGAAAATCTAACAATTGCCTCTCATGAGCCAACTGGAGCTAGTGTCAGCCCTTCACTGCTTTCACCTCATACATCCCTCAATTTTATGAATCCTCCCTTCCTTCAGCCAAAGCACATATGCTCATACATTCAAAACCAAGCAAAAACACTATTTTCACCCAACTCTTTATTCCTATAGTGTCTGGATCATAGGTAGAGCTCAGTGTTTGCAGAATTAAAGTGAATTCACATTCACATGAGAACACACACGAGTCCACATCATTTGTTCATGTGCACAACCGAGATGCAGCACATTCAAATAAAATAAATGTTGGCCACAACGGATGCTCACTATTTGGCTGGTCTATTCTGTACAACAAAATGTTTTTTATTTGGTTTTCTGATTATGAGAGAATACATGTACATTGGAAAGAACAGGAAAGGGTATGAAGTAGTTGTTAACTCTTTTCTGGAGCTGCCAGAGATAGTGATGGGAAACAGTGTTTTAGGTTTAAAAGATAAGAGAAGGCAAGGGAAGATACTTAACTTTAATTGAGTGCCTACCATGCACCTGGCACTTTCTTGCTAGCCCTTACAACTATGTACCATACAAATCAGAAAAACAATGCTCAGAATAAGTGACTTTCTCCAGTCAACCTGAAATTAGTGGAGCTGTAATTCGAATTCAGATCTGCTTACTGCAAAACACAAGCTCTTTCCACTACACTATCTCTGTACTTGTGGGCAGTCTCAAATAGGTTGGTAGGCTAAAGGAGCTCTGACTGAACTGGATACCCTGAGGAAAAGCCCAGAGATTCAAATGCCTACACAACTTTCCTCCTCAGTCCAGTCCATGTTTACATCATTAGAACCCAGGTTTTCACACTGTAGCCCAGGGTCTTTCCGTTGTACCATACATGCCATACTGCCTCATACAGAATTCTTATGAAAAAACATAAACATTCCCCACTGTCAAGTGTATCCTAATGCTTCCTTACTGGCACCAGAAGATGGCAGTGTGGGTCATCATGGACAGAATGTTAATAACAATAATTATGCTTGTGGGAATACCCTCTTCCATTATTCTCCAGTCAAATCTAACTGACAGGAAAGCACTTCACCCACATTAGAAGTGGTCTCAGCAGTTTGCCTCTCCCTGGTGCTTGGTGCATATTCCCACCCTGAGCGTGGGAGAAGGTGTGGCAATGCTCAAGCAGTAAGAAAATCTGTAGTCACACCTGGGTTGGAATCTTAGCTCTGCCACTTACAGTCACTTTGGACAGGCAACTTCACCTCTCTGAACCTGTTTCCTAATCTGGCAACATGTTGAAATAGCATTCATCATCTTCTCCCTCAAGCCTTCTCCTTCTCTGCTGTCGCCCTGCTTGACAGCACTGACTACTAAGTTACCCAACCCAGAAACCCAAGTGTCATCCTTGACCTCTCCCTCTTTTTCACGTGCCAATCCAATCATGAGTTTGATGATTTTACTTCCTGAAATCTGTATTTTCCCTCCTCTACCTAATTCAGGTCACCATCACTTTTGCCTGGATGACTGCAATAAACACTTATAAGTGGCTTCCCTGCCTCCAAGTCTGTGTCCTCTAATCTATTTCCTACATAGCAGTTAGTGATCTTTTCTAAAATCAAATCTGTTAACACCATTGTGATCTTTTCTGAAATCAAATCTGTTAACACCATTGTGATCTCTTCTAAAATCAAATCTGTTAACATCATTGACCAGATTAAAAGCTCTAACAGCTTCTCACTGCTGATAGAATCCAAAGTCCTTGACAAGAATTAGAAGACCTTTCTTGATTTGGCCTCTGTCTTGGCTGTCATTGCTTCCCAACTTTGTACTCTCTGCTTCAGCCAAAATTGTCCTCTCAGTTCTTCAGGCATACCATACTATGTGTTCTCCTGCTTCTAGGTTGTTGCACATTCTATTTATGCTGCCCAAAAAACTCTTTTCCTATCTACTGTCTTCCCTCCCTCTACCCAATTCACCTAGCAAAGTCCTGGACATTTTTCAGGTCTCAACTTAGGTGACACTTCCTCTAAGAAGTTTTTCCTGATCCCTAAGTTCAGGTTAGATACCCCTGATTTGTGTTCCTAGAACACACTGCACTTACCCCTTAAGATTGTAATTGCCTATTTCCTCATCTGCTTCCATCAGTAGAGTCTAACATCTGTAAGGAATAGTGCCTTGCTTACCACAGAACACTGTGCTTGGTACATGGTAGCATTCAATAAATATTTGACTAACTGGCTGAATTAATGAACTATTTGGTGATTTCATTGCCTGCATCTTCTAACTTCTGGTTCTATACCCTAGCTTTCAGCATCTGCTTCTGGCCTCTTTTCTGGTTAGATTGATCTATTCTCTTTTTGCACCCTAGATAACTTCCAAGATTCTCAACTCTATATGCTTTCTTACGGTCAGCATCATCTACAGTTCCAGTTTGCATAGTCCACTCTTTACCCCCAAGGAATCCAGGATATCAGTGCTGGTCAACCTTGACCACTACTTCCACTTGCCCAGAGTGATTCAGATAATAAATAACATCAGCTACCATTTAATGAACACCCACTATGTGCCAATTCCTTTGTATATTGTAGCAGACATTAGCCTCATTTTATTGATGGGAAAACAAGTCTTTCTCTTCATATCCAGTAGTTACTCAGGACTGAACTCATGTCTGTCTGTTCCAAAGCTTTTCCCATTACACAGTCTTGAAAGTGTTATTATATCTTATTGTATCAGGTTTGACAGAAAGTATGGGTGTTGGTAGGAGAGAGGGACAGTGGTAGCACTGAGGTACAACCTTTTGGAAAGGGAATTTGGTAATATCTAACAAAACTACATATGCATTATTTGATCAGGCAAAACTAAGAATTTGCCCTAAAGATACATCTACAACAACAGAAAAACACATATGCCCAAAATTATTGACTGCAACATTGCAATTGCAAAATACTGGT